>NW_013171810.1:0-168146 GCF_000001405.40 Homo sapiens | reverse complement strand
GAATTCTACCAGACATTCAAAAAAGAATTGGTACCAATCCTTTTGACACTATTCCACAAGACAGAGAAAGAAGGAACCCTCCCTAATTCATTTTATGAAGCCAGCATCACCCTAATACCAAAACCAGGAAAGGACATAATCAAAAAAAGAAAATTACAGACTGATATCCTTCATGAACATAGATGCTAAAATCCTTAACAAAATACTAGCTAACTGAATCCAACAACATATTAAAAAGATTATCCACAATCATCAAGTGGGTTTCATACCAGGGATGCAGGGTTGGTTTAACATATGCAAGTCAATAAATGTGATACACCACATAAACAGAATTAAAAACAAAAATCACATGATCATCTCAATAGATGCAGAAAAAACATTCGACAAAATCCAGCATCCTTTTATGATTAAAACTCTCAGCAAAATTGGCATACAAGGGACATACCTTAGTGTGATAAAAGCCATCTATGTCAAACCCACAGCCAACATAATACTGAATGAAAAGCAGTTGAAAGCGTTCCTTCTGAGAACTGGAGCAAGACAAGGATGCCCACTCTCACCACTCCTCTTCAACATAGTCCTGGGAGTCCTAGCAAGAGCAATCAGACAAGAGAAAGAAATAAAGGGCATCCAAATTGGTAAAGAGGAAGTCAAACTGTCACTGTTTGCTGACGATATGATCATTTACCTTGAAAACCCTAAGGACTCCTCCAGAAAGCTCCTAGAACTGATAAAATATTCAACAAAGATTCCGGATATAAGATTAATGTACACAAATCAGTAGCTCTTCTATGCACCAATGGCAACCAAGCAGAGAATCAAATCAAGGACTCAACCCCTTTTACAATAGCTGCAAAAAAATTAAATATTTAGGAATACACATAAGGTCTTTCGATTCGAAAGACCTCTACAAGGAAAAGTACAAAACACTGCTGAAAAGAATCAGATGACACAAACAAATGGAAACACATCCCATGCTCATGGATGGGTAGAATCAATATTGTGAAAATGGCCAGACTGCCAAAAGCAATCTATAAATTTAATGCAATTTCCATGAAAATACCACCTCATTCTTCACAGAATTAGAAAAAAAATATTTTTAATTCACATGGAACCAAAAAAGAGTCCACATAGCCAAAGCAAGACTAAGCAAAAAGAGCAAATCTGGAGGCATCGCACTACCTGATTTCACACTATACTATAGGGCCATAGTCACCAAAACAGCATGGTACTGGTATAAAAATAGGCACATAGACCAATGGAACAGAATAGAGAACTCGGAAATAAACTCAAATACTTGCAGCCAACTGATCTTTGAAAAAGCAAACAAAAACATAAAGTGGGGAAAGATACCCTTTCCAACAAATGGTGCTGGGATAATTGGCTAGCCACATGTAGGAGAGTGAAACTGGATCCTCATCTCTCACCATATACAAAAATCAACTCAAGATGGATTAAAGACTTAAACCTAAGACCTGAAACTAAACAAATTCTAGACGATAACATTGGAAAAACCCTTCTAGACATTGGCACAGGCAAGGATTTCATGACCAAAAACCCAAAAGCAAATGCAAAAGAAACAAAGATAAATAGCTAGGACCTAATTAAACTAAAGAGCATTTGCATGGCAAAAGGAACAGCCAGCAGAGTAAAGAGACAACCCATAGAGTGGGAAAAAATCTTCACAATCTAACATCTGACAAAGGACTAATATTCAGAATCTACAATGAACTCAAACAAATCAGTAAGAAAAAAAAAATCAAACAACCCCATCAAAAAGTGGGCTAAGGACATGAATATACAATCCTCAAAAGAAGATATATAAATGGACAACAAACATATTGAAAAAAATGCTCAACATCACTAATGATCAGGGAAATGCAAATCAAAACCACATTGTGATACCACCTTACTCCTGCAAGAATGGCCATAATCAAAAAAACAAAGAACAATAGATGTTGGCATGGATGCAGTGAACAGGGAACACTTCTACACTGCTGGTGAGAACTAGAATAGCCACTATGGAAAACAGTGTAGAGGTTTCTTAAAGAACTAAAAGTAGAACTGCCGTTTGATCCAGAAATCTCACTACTGGGTATCTACCCAGAGGAAAAGAGGTCATTATTCAAAAAAGATACGTGCACACACGTGTTTATAGCAGCACAATTGACAATAGCAAAATCATAGAACCAGCCCAAATGCCTGTCAATCAATCAGTGGATAAAGAAACTGTGAGAGAGAGATATATATATGATGATATATATATATATATATATATATATATGATGGTGTATATATATATATGATGGTGTATATATATATGATGGTGTATATATATATGATGATATATATGAGATATATATACGATGGAATATATATAGATGATGGAATATATATATATGATGGAATATATATAGATGATGGAATATATACATATGATGGAATATATATATATGATGGAATATATATTTATGTATGAGATGGAATACTTTGCAGCTATAAAAAGGAATGAATTAACAGCATTTGCAGTGACCTGGATGAGACTGTAGACTATTATTCTAAGTGAAGTAACTAAAGAATGGAAAACCAAACATCATATGTTCTTACTGATATGAGGGAGCTAAGCTATGAGGACGCAAAGGCATAGGAATGATGTAATGGACAATGGACTTTGGGCACTTGGGGGGAAGAGTGGGAGGGGGGCGAGGGATAAGACTACAAATATGGTGCAGTGTACACTGCTCCAGGGAAGGGTGCACCAAAATCTCACAAATCACCACCAAAGGACTTACTTATGTAACCAAATACCACCTGTACCCCAATAACTTATGGAAAAATAAAAAATGAAAATAAATAAATAAATAATAATAAATATATAAACAAGGTTAAAGGATTTCCCCCATGACAGCATAGTTAGTTAAGTTTTTATAGCTACATATAACATTCAATTTCTAGGCTTATAATTTTTATAAGCTTGGTTTCAATAAATGATCTGGTTTCCAATCTTGTGAACTCTAAAAATATTAAACTGTTTTATTTTACATACCAGATATTAACAACCTACATTTGCATTGCCTTAATCAGGGAAGGGGAGATATAAATAGTTGTTTTATTACTGTTATTCTAGAGCATATGCCATTAGGATTTGGTACCCAAAAAGATTATACACGTAGAGCAGAAATATTCAACATTTTAGAAACCCTTATTTTCATTTTTATTTTACTTTTTTCTTTTTGCCTTTTATTTTACAAATACATATTACTTCATTTGATACAAGAGATATTGTTTCATTTGATATGAGATGTCACTGAAATTGAAAGCAATAAAATCCAACAAACTGTTAATTGCACTGATTTGCTATTGATTAACATATTTATCAAATTATATTGTTGATGAAAACCTGGACAGCAGTCTTGAGATTTAAACGTTTTGTAAATTTTCTTTATGTCATAGTCATATTTTATTTTTATAGAGCCAGCTGCATACTGTTTACTACCTAAGCTGAACACTTCAACTATTACGTTTCTGCATACTTTACTGATTGAAGTGAATATATTAGTAGTTAAATTTGCATATATACTGATTGCCCTGAATATTGTGCAAGTGTGTTGTTAACTACAAAAAAAAATTGTCTAAGTAGTTACTTTTATTAAGGAGATTTAAAGCAATAACAAAATTAACCTAGTTGTGAAGATCTGGTGAGATTCCTTGTTGCCATTTTCTTAATCTGCTACTTATATGAAAGATTGCTTTATTCTATCCTGGAGAGACATTATTGGTCACTTTAAAGATAAAACTGTTCCCCACCCCCATCCCCACCCCCCCGCAAGATGGTAGATTAGAGTCAATGTTTGCCTGCCTCTCCCACTTGGAAAGGCAAAAATAGTGTGTTAAGATTTATTCTGTGAACTCGGTTTTCCATGAAGCAACACAGGAACTTAACAGAAAAAGTCAAAGAAACCACAGGCCTTTTGAAAGAAGCAATGGGCTGCAGCCTACACTGTGGGCCATACAGAAAAGTGTGAGTCTCCAGGTCATGAGAGGGAGAGAGATGATGCTGTGACACACACTCCCACAGGGAGCTGGGCGATCTAGGCCACAGGTGAAGGTGTTAACCCTTCCAGGCTCTGGAGCTGATTTAGTGAGAGGTGGGGAATATAGGAGAAGAAGCGGCATCAGGATGTGCTTTGCATGCACTCCCAGACCCCAATGGGTACAGAGCCATTCCTATTCTCACCTCACAAGGGACATCATGGAAGTTGGCCAGCTAACTCAGGTGTTGGTCACAGGTTGAGAGAATCTCCCAGCTGAAATTTTCAATATGATCTTGAGTGGGGATGAGCCCCATCAGCCAGAATGGAGTAGCAAGCGGAAAGTGTGCTTATAGCCACCTGCTTCATAGGTTGACTGGGAGGGGCATGGCCTGAAAGCTGTGTTCTCCACCAGTTTTGAGTTCTGGGTAGAGGCTGCCTGGAACTCAGCTAGCTGTTGCTAATAGAACACTGTGAGTGTGAGATGTGCCTTGCCAAGTGCATGGGAGCTGAGTGGAGCTTACTGCTGCCGGCTACCCACCGCTCCCTGTGCAGATTATTTTATGCAGCAGAAGAAGCTGCACTCCTCCCTAGAACATTACCCCAGAGGCAAGGCAACTGCCCTCTGATCCACATTGGAGCCACTTCCTGAGCTTGCACATGGGGAGCCCGAGCACGGACTTGCCTGACCCAGCCTCCACCTGCTCTGGCTTTACCCCTTCATCTGCTCTGGTTGTACAACACAATAGACAGGGATGTTTTAGAGCTCCATGGTCCCGCCCCTTGCCCGAGACACCAGAGTACATTCTCTGGGAAACATAAGGCAAGCGCAAACCCCACTGCTACCACTGCAGCTGGTACTATTTTGCAAGCACCACCTCCTGGCTGGAGGCCAACCAACACAGTCCATTACAGCATCTGCAGACAGAATAACAGCATTCAGGAAAGAGAAAACTTTTGCATGGCCTCGGTTACCACCATTTCTTGCATCACCCTGGCTGACCAGGAGGTCTTGAGTCTGTTCACACGCCCAGTACATTAATACTAAATTTGGCCTTTGAGAATACCAACACAATAAGGCTATATATAACTAAGGGAATCTCAGAGTCTATGTAAGCCCCCTCCCACCCCCATCAGAGCTGGTGCTGTTACCCACTGCAGGGAGACTAGAGAACAGGCCACATCATTGGATACTTAGCAGACATTCCCCAGCACCAGCCTGGAATGTGGTTTCCCCGCTGGGCAGTTAGACATAGAGGAGCATCAGGATTCATAGTAGTCTGACCCTCAGGAATGGCTACTTCTAGGGCATATGGGAGGGCACCATGTAACCGCACAATGGGTTCACCTTGCCCGCTGCCTAGACAGAGCCGATTTATCAAGACAGGGGAATTGCAATGGAGAAAGAGTAATTCATGCAGTAATTCTGTGTGGGAGACCAGAGTTTTATTATTACTCAAATCAGTCCCTCTGAGCATTCCAGGATAGGGAGTTTTTAAAGACAATTTGGTGGGTAGGAGCTGGGCAAGTGGGGAGTGCTGATTGGTCAGGTTGGAAATGAAATCATAGGGGGTCAAGATGAGGTTTTCTTGCTATCTTCTGTTCCTGAGTAGGATCGCAGAACTGGTTGGGCCAGATTACAGGTCTGGGTGGTGTCAGTTGATCCACCCAATGCAGGGTCTGCAAAATATCACCTGATATTTTAAAATAAAACCTGATCTTAGGTTTTACAGTAGTGGCGTTATTCCTAGGAGCAATGTGGGGAGGTTCAGACTCTTGGAGCCAGAGGCTGCATGACCCCTAAACAGTAATTTCTAACCTTGTAGCTAATTTGTTAGTCCTACAAAGGCAGACTAGTTCCCGGGTGAGAAGGAGGTCTTTTCGAGAAAGGGCTGTTAGCAGCTTTGTTTCAGAGTCAAACCATAAACTGAATTCCTTCACAAGGTTTTTCGACCTATGCCCAGGAATTAACAAGGATATTGAACAAGATTAGAAGCAAGATGGAGTCAGTTAGGTCTGATCTCTTTCACTGTCGTAATTTCCTCGGTTATAATCTTTGCAAAAGCAGTTTTGATCACATTAAGGGAGTATCCTGTAGAACAAAAGAAATCAGACTGCAGGCCTTCAGCCCCTCAACTTTCCACTTGTGAGAAGTTTCTTTCAGCAGAGGCACAGGTAAAGTGGCTCAGTGGGGAAAGTCTGCAAGTGTACCCCAACAGCCAGGGCTCTCTGGTACTTTTGAAGGATTTTGCCAAAGGATACTTCTTCTCCCCAGACCCACCACTGAAAACATAGCTGGGGCTTCTTCCACAGGAGTTTGGCAGGAGCGCGTCTGCAGACAGCTTTTCTGGATCACTTTGGGGCGACGGCATACCACAGGATGAGTGTCCTCCAGGCTCAGACTTGCACGAGAGGCATAGTCATAATTCCTCTCTACATGGAACATCAGCATTCCTGCAGATGAAAAGAGGTTGCTGTCTGATCTGAACAGCTGAAATAGCAGGTCAGGACTGTGAATAAGAGGTGGATAATTTTCATGCTGGCCTGAAATGAGAGCTGTGTTGGTTATCTCCCTTCCTTGCTAAAAAATCAGTAGCTTCAACTGATTTTTACTGGTAGGCACCTCCTATATACCTGAAGCCTGAACTGTTCAACCCAGTGAATAAAAGACTAGGGAAGAAAGTTTTTGAAAGTGCACACCACTGGGGAGTAAGATAAGCTTCATGAGACTACTGCCATTTCAGCCCCACAGAAGATAGTGAACCTGATGATACACCCAGCACATCACTTCTACAACCAGCATTTGAGAAAGCCATCACACAAACTCTATAATCATGGAACTGATTCTGACTCTTCACCACTGAAAGCACCCAGAGCTGAAACTAGATGAAAATAAACTATAAGCATTAAAGTCACATCTGCAGGGAGGATAAATATTTTTTTCTAAAAAACCAGTTGAATAAAAAATAAATTTAAAAATACTTAGAAGAATCAGCCTGCCCAAATGAGAAGGAGCCAGAAAAATAATTCTGTCAATGTGAAGAAGCAGGGTTCTATAACACCTCCTAAAGATCACAGTAACTCTCTAGTAGTGGATTCAAACTGAGGTGATATCCTTGAAATAACAGATAAGGAATTTAAAAGGTTGATTATTAAGTTACTCAAGGAGATACAAGAGAATAGTGAAGACCAACATAAAGAAATTTACACAAAAGCAATTCAGGATATAAATGCAAAATTTTATAAAGAGATAGATATTTTAAAGAAAAACCAATCAGACTGTCTGGAAATAAAAGAGACATTTATGAAACTGCAAAATGCAATGGAGAATTTTAACAATAGATTAGACCAAGCTAAAAAAAAATCAGAGCTCGGAGATAAGGCTTTCAAATGTAAACCAATCAAACAAACAAACAAAAAAGAATCAAAAGAAATAGTCTTCAATAAATATGGAATAATATCAAATGGACAAAGTTAAGAATTGTAGATGTTCCTGAGGGAAAAGAAAAAGCAAAAACTTTGGAAAACCTACTTCAGAAAATAATTGAGGAAAACTTCCCTGGACTTGCTAGTGATTTAGACATTCAAATACAAGAAGCTCAACGGAGATACAAGAACTCTTGGGATACTCATTGTAAAAAGGACATCACTAATGAATCCAGTCATTAGGCTATCTAAAATCAATGTGAAGGAAAGAATTCTAAGAGCAGTGAGACAAAAACATCAGGTAACCTTACAAAGGAAAACCTATCAGACTAACTGCAGGCTTCACAGCAGAAACCTTAAAAGCCAGAAGGAATTGGGGTTCTATTTTTAGTCTCCTCAAATAGAATAACTGTCAGCCAAGGATTTTATATTCAACAAAAATAAGTTTCAGAAATGGAGAAATAAATTATTTCTCAGACAAGCAAATTCTGAGGAAATTTGTCAATACTAGGTCAGCCCTACAACAAATGCTAAAAGGCACTCTAAATCTTGAAACAAAAGGTCGAAACTGACCAGAATACAAACTACTGAAAGCAGAAAATTCAAAAGGTTATAAAGCAATAACATAGTGAAGAAAACAAAGTCCTTAGGTAACAATCAACATGATAACTGCTATAGTGCCTCAACACCCAATATTACCATTGAATGTAAATGATCTAAATGCTCCACTTAAAAGATAGAGGATTGGCAGGATGGATAAAAAATCAAAAAGCTCTGTATTCAGGAGACACATGGAACACGTAAGGAATCTCACAGACTCAAGGTAAAGGAGTGGAAAAAATATTTCACAAAAATGGAAACCAAGGAGGAGTAGCTATTCCTATATCAGATAAAATAGAATAGGCTTTAAAGCAACTACACAGATGTAGGGATGGTTCAATATATTCAAATTAATAAATATGATTTAGTGCATAAACAGAATTAAAGAGAAAACCATATGATCATCTCAATCGATGCATAAAAAACATTTAATAAAATCTAGCATCTCTTTATAATAAAAACCCTCAAGAAACTAGGCATAAAGGAAACACACCTAAAAGTAAGAAAAGTCATATATGATAAATCCACTGACAACATCATACCAAACAGAGAAAAGTTGAAAGCATTTCCCCTAACCACTGGAACAAGATAAGGATGCCCATTTTTACCACTTTTCTTCAACATAGTACTGGAAATCTTAGCCAGAGCAATCAGGCAAGATAAAGAAATAAAGGATATCCAAAAGCATGGACTTCCTCTTGGAAAAGAGGAAGTCAAACTATCTCTGTTTGCATGATGTGATCTTATACCTAGAAAACACTAAAGACTTCTCTAAAAGACTCCTAATTCTGATACATGAATTCAGTAAGATCTCAGTTTATAAAATCAATGTAAACAAATCAGTAGCACTTCACACACCAACAATGACCAAGCTAAGGATCACATCAAAAACTCAATCCCTTTTATGACAGCTGAAAAAAAAACCTAAAATACATAGAAATATACTTATCTAAGGATAGAAAAATCTCTACAAGAGAACTAAAAAACACTGCTGAAAGAAATCACAGACACAAACAAATGGAAATACATTTCATGTTCATGGACTGGAAGAATCAATATGAAAATTACTATACTTTATATACTGTAGATACCAAAAGGAATCTATAGATTCCATGCAATTCCTATCAAAATATCAACATTATTTTTTCACAGAATTAGAAAAATGCTAAAATTAATATGCTACCAAAAAGGACCTAAGTAGCCAAAACAATCCTAATCAAAAATAACACATCTAGAGTCATAACATTACCCAACTTCAAACTATACTGCAATGATATAGAAACCAAAGCAGCATGGTACTGGTATAAAAGTATACACATCAACCAGCTGAACAGAATAGAGAACCCACAAGTAAAGACAAATCCTTACAAACAACTGTTCTTCAATAAAGCATGCAAAAATGTAAATTGGGAAAAGGGTACTCAATTCAGTGAGTGGCACTGGGAAAATTGGATAGCCACATAAAAGAATGAAATTGGATAACTGTCTCTCATCATGTACAAAAATTAACTCAAGGTGGATTAAAGACTTAAATCTAAAACTTAAAATCATAAAAATTCTAGAAGAAAATCTAGGAAAATCCCTTTTGGACATTGGCCGAGGCAAATAATTCATGAATAAGATCCCAAAACGAAATGCAACAAAAACAAAAATATAAAAATGGGACATAATTAAACTAAAAAGCTTCTGCACAACACAAGAAATTATCATTAAACATACAATCTACAAAATGAGAGAAAAATTAATATTTTTAAATCATACATCCAACAAAGGACTAATATCCAGAATCTACAAGGAACTTGAACAAATCAGCAGGAAGAAAACAAATAATTTCATTAAAGAGTGGCAAAAAGACATAAATAGGCACTCCTCAAAAGAAGATACACAAATGGCCGATAAACATATGAAAAAATGCTAAACATCATTAATCATCAGAGAAATGCAAATTAAAACCAAAATGAGATGCCATTTACTCCAGGCAGAATGACCATTATGAAAATGTCTAAAGACGATAGATGTTGTCATGGATGTGGTGAAAAAGGAATGCTTATACATTATTGGCGGGTATGTAAATTAGTACAACCCCTATGGAAAATAGAATGGAGATTTCTCAAAGAACTAACAGTAAATCTACCATTTGATCCAGCAATCTCTACTGGGTATCTAACCAAAGGAAAAGAAGTCACTATATTAAAAAGACACCTGCATGCATATGTTCATTGCAGCATAATTCACAATTGCAAAGATGTGGAATCAACCTAAGTGCTCATCAACTGATCAGTGGATAATAAAATGTGGTACATATACCATGGAATACTACCCAGCCATAAAAATAAATAAATAATGCCTTTTGCAGCAACTTGGATGAAACTGGAGGGCATTATTCTAAGTAAAGTAACTCAGGAATCGAAAATCAAATACTGCAAATTCTCACTTAAAGTGGATGCTAAGCTCTGGGTCCCCAAAGGCATACAGAGTGATATAATGGACATTGGAGGCTCAGAAGCAGGGAGGTGAAAGGGGGTTAGACAGGAAACACTACCTATTGGGTAACCAATTGTACCCCTAAAGCTATTGAAATAAAAAATATATATTTTGTATGGCAAGAAAACAGGAAAAAAGAAATATAATACCATACACCAGTAAAAATACAACTCTATAATCATCTTTTGTAAGGTATGCTGTGTAACTAATAATCCCAAAATCTCCATGGATAGCAACAATAAAGGTTTATTTCTCTGGAGAGTTGCCTTATTGAATAAATAAATAAATAAAATAAAACTTTATTTTGGTAATCTGGTGTATCAATTTTGTGATTGGGTGCCTCATTGCTTTAAGATAAAAAGAAAAACATTAAAAAAAACCTCATTTGCAATACACCTTCTGTTATTGTGGTAATGGAAATATAGGTCCACTAATGCATATCTTCTGTAGGGTGTAATTTAATTGATGGTTCTGTTTACATAATTTCTATAAACATGCGACTTAGAGTGATAGAAATATTAATATTATTGGTTATCTAATATGTGCCAAGTGACTAAAAATATGTTTTTCTTTTAAATTCTCTCACCAGCTAATATTATTTCATAGATTAGGAGACAAAACTCAGAGAAGTTTAAATAAAATCCCAAAACATTATCCACCACCTAATTGGTAGAGTTTGGACTCTAATATGGAAACTTCCTAATTCAAATCCTCTACAGTTTATACTATATCAGTTCCTAGACTAAAATAATCTTATTTAAGGGTTCATCTTTATCACTTACTCAGTTTGTGTTGCTGAACAAATCACTACATCAGCATCCAATTTTGAACTTAGGATAATACTTACCCTTCATCTTCACTTAATTTATGTAAGGGTCAGAAAATAGAAGAAACAGGCTCTTTAAAAATAATAAAGCACACCACTATTTAAAGATATCTTAAATCTTTATTAGTCAATTGAGTTATGTCATAATATAAAGACATGGTTTTAGTAGGGAGTATTAATTAATGATGAGGACTAGAACTTCACATGCTCTCTAAAAGTCAATACGTAATCTTAGAATATGGAAACAACCATTTGCCTGCAGCAATGATGTTCCCAGATATCCATGAACCTTCGTATCGTTGCCTTTTCACATGTTGTTTCCTTTATTTGGAGTGTCCTTTTCCCCTTATGTCTTGTAAATGCCAATCATTCTTTCTCTTTATGTCTCCTTACTCTGAAAAATCTTCCCTGATCAATTTCCAACATGCTTTACATCTCTGTTCCTGAAGCACTGTGTGCACAGCCCCAGCAGAGGATTTATACAGCTTTCACTTGACTGTTGTTTTTTTTTTTTTTCTATATCCCTTGCTGATCTGAGTGTCTTCATTATATAGTAAATGCCCAAAATTACTACTTCAGTGAGTAAGAATGTTATTATTTCCACTGTAATATAACTATAATTAGGTGATATTTATTATTTAAAAATAGTAGTTTAGCTATTATATTGAAATATATGATACACACAGCAAAGTACACAAAACATGAAGTGCAATGAATTTTTTTAAAAAGCCATCAACTACTAAGGTCAGCAAATCTCTCATTTTGAGTACCCCAGATAATCCCTTGTGCCTTTCCCAATCCTCCTTTCAAAAGTAACAAGTATCCTGACTTCTTGACTATACTGAAATTTCCTAACTGTGCTGATTATTCCATCTATAGTTGAGTTATACCTATCTTTTAATTTTATACAAATATGTTTACCATTATTGTCATTTTTATTGTAGTAAAAAACATGTCACATGAAATTTATCCCCTTAATAAATTTTTAAGTTTTTAGAACAGTATTGTTAACTATAAGCACAATGTTATACAGCAGACCTCTTGAACTATTTCAACTTGCATAACCGAAAATTTTTAACCCCAGCAACTGTGAGAAAAACATTTTATGAATAATAAACAGTGTAATATTGAATCGATCAGATTTATTTATTTTACTTTCTAAGAAACCTTTACTATAAATTAGCCCCATATCATAAATAAGTGTATATTTCCAAATATATTCTCATACACATACACACTGATATGTATATAAATTTTATATTATATTTCCATAGCTACATTATACGATATATTGAAAATATAGAAATGTACTTTGAGGGTAGGAAAATAAGAGATTGTAAAATATTACAAAGAAATATTTAACTAAATTTCTGTTGATTATTTTATAATAATAAATGCATTGTATAAAATACTTAATATAAGGCATATCATGATTTTGGCACTAAATCTTTCTGTAAAATTTGTATTAATTAAACTTAAAAGATGAATAAATAAAATCAGGAAACAAGAAAACTCCAGAGTTAAAAAAATTCAACTTTTGCTAATAATGACTAGGACCTGATTAATAAATTGTGCTACATTTAGCGCTCAATTATTAAACCTGGCAACCTAATCAGAAAATCAAGCTTCACAACCTGTAGCATAGTTTAAAACTCAGCAATTGTAACATCAAAGTGTGCAGCTGTATCAGTGGAATTGGTGGTTGAATCATCAAATATGCAGTGCAATTAGTTGAGTATGAAAATCCCACAGTGTTATAATATGGAGATGAATCAGCAAAGCTTCCTTGTGATTGCTAAATACCTGACTACTTCCTCAGTAACTATAGTTCTTGAATAATTTCCTAAATAAATATGGAAATGAAGTTTAATGAAATGAAACAGTGAATATGAAATAGTATTTGATGAATTTGAAAAATTGGTTTATTTTAAAAGAAACTGGATAATATTCTTTTACATACTCCCACTTATATACAGGGCCAACTAGCACTGACTACATGTTATTTTTGTTCTCTTAATTTTTTGGGGGGTCATTTAAACATATCCCACTGGATTTTACTCTCAATAGGTGAAAATTCCTTCATCCAGAAGAAATAACTCATAGGAATACAGTATTTGCATACCTCATCTCAATAGAGTCATCTAGGCAGGTAAATCACCTGAGATTGGGAGTTCGAGACCAGCCTGACCAACATGGAGAAACCCCTTCTCTACTAAAAATACAAAAAAATTAGCCAGGCTTGGTGGTGTATGCCTGTAATCCAAGCTACTCGGGAGGCTGAGGCAGGAGAATTACTTGAACCCCGGAGGCGGAGGTTGTGGTGAGCCAAGATCACACCATTGCACTCCAGCCTGGGCAACAAGAGTGAAACTCCGTCTCAAATGCACCTTTTCCATGGTGAAGAACTAACCATTGACTTGTTAATGAGATTCAAAAGAAAATTTCTGGAAATTGAAATTCCTGTATATAGAAAGTTTCATAAGTGTGGAAGAATGGAAGAATATAGTATTATTTCTAAAATTTCAGAAAGGAGCTACATTTACGGATATGTGGAAATTTGAAAGCTATATGTTATGTACAATGTTTTCTTTCACTTCAAAAATGTATGATTGCAAGTTCAAGTTCAGTGCTTTAAAAAACATTTCCCAAAATATTTAAACCTCAATGAGATTGTTTAGTTATCAGATGTCAGTATTCTCTCAGCTGGCATTCCATGTCCCGAGTAAAATTTGTGAAAATATTTTAATATGACTACGTTAAAGATAACACATTTTTCATTGTTCTTTCTTTCTTTCTTTGGAAAAACAATTACTTTTTGAAATAATTAAGCCTTCAATTTTTTTTTTCAACAATCTGTATTTTATTTTATTTATTTTTATTTGTATTTTTTGGGACAGCGTCTCGCCCTATCGCCCAAAGGCGTGATCTGGGCTCACTGCAACCTCTACCTCCCAGGTTCAAGCGATTCTCCTGCCTCAGCCTCCCTCGACAAACTGTATTTAAAAAATACATATAAAGAGTGAAAATGCGGTGTCAAAGGATTTTCAGCTCCTCTCCCCAAACCTCTAGGCTGGGGGCAAAAAAATTCAAGTGACTATGAGGTTCGGGAGGTCATTGAGGAGTGAGATTGGAAGACAAAAAAGGAACAAAAGAGGTCTCTGAAAAAGGGTAATACATCTTCCAAAGAGGCAAATGACTCCTACTCCAGCTGAATGCTGCCATTCAACTTGATAGAATGTGCAGCTATTTTGAGGAGATATCAGAATTTTTTTAACTTTAAAATCCTTAATTTTAAAGAAGTTGGCTACCTTTTAAAGAAGAAATAACTGTAGATTTCAAATACAACACATCTGCTTTCTATCAGCTTGGAAGCTTTTGTGTCAATGGAACTCTATTACAGAGGTCATCTTCTATTGACACAGTTAAAGGAAAGGAGTGTTGACTACTTTGTAAATCAGTTCCCTTAATTAGAAGTCAATTCTTTTAGAAGCTATATGTATATATGTATTTAAATCAAAGACGAGGAATTATAAGGCAGAAGGACAAAAGATCATTCAATTCATCGTTTTATTTTAAATGGGAAAATAGAGACTCAGAAAGTTCAAATCCTTCACACAAAGTCATGCAATTGTTTTAAAAAAGACCCAGAAAAAAAGACAACTGAAGTAAATGAACAAAACACCTGCCTCTTGAGAAGTCGCATGGTTTGTGATTTCATATATGTTATAGCACTTAATCTTCAAAAAAGTACTGTGATGAAGATAATGTTAGCCACATTCAAATGAATAAACAGCTTTAAGTCAATTTCCCAACATTACACACTATTTTCTATTCCCTACTTATATTGATTATTATTTATTAATAGGCACAACTGATTTGATGTAAATTGTGGAGGGATTTTGTGTAATTCAATCATTAGCTGACAGAGGGCTGCAGTACCCACCTTTGGTTAAATCTGAAGACATGCTACTGCTATTTCTTACTGGGCACAAGAAATCAAATAGCCCTGTAAGCTTTATTCTCTCCAAAACAAGCTTTAGAATGCATTGCTGCCAAATATCATTTTAGCCAGTTCAGCACATCTTAGCTGGGACACACACCAAGGAACCTGGACTGACAGCAAACACCCAGTGGGATGAGCCCACTGGTGCAGAGCCAGCCATCTTTCCTGTATTCAGGAATTTCTCATTGATAATAGAAGAAGTGCTGAAGTAATTCGTCCTTTAGCAGAAAACTTGGGGTCCAAATCCCTCAGACTAAACGCAGTTATCGTGGGTGTTAACATTTATTTTAGTATTTTTGCCTATTGTTCAAATTATGCAGATACCAGGTGGAACTAAATTAAATGTAATAAAAGTAGCAATAAAGTGTATTTATCAAACACTGATTTATGACATACTTAGAACAAAGAGTTAGTAATAGAATATGTCAGCAGTATCCAATATGCTGAAAATTAATTTTAACACATTTTCATAAATAAATTTAAGAAAAACATTATCCAAATTTGGCCATCCTGTTTACTTTATCACATTTCATTATTTATTCCTCTCCTTAGATATAATAATGTATCATTTTATTTATTTGAATACAAGTAAATAGCTTCCCTTTTCATACTAGAATCTAAGTGAAATGAAGGTGAAGGTCTTGACTTATTTGTTGATTGCAAAGCTTGGCAAAGAGTTTAAAAAGAAATAATCAATTAATTAATTAATTGATGCAAAAATATTAATTACAGAGGAGAAAAAGAAATGTTAAGCATTCTTAATGAGAAAAGGTTTAGATAGTGAGGAATATAGCAAAATTTATAAAGAATTAAATTTAGCCAGTGAGAGAAAGAAAATAATATTTAGAATTTTCAATAGATTCAAAAAATTTAAAATATAACACATGGAAACAATACAAGAAACTAAAAATAAAGGAAAAACAGGCTAACTTGCTATGAAATTAATTTAATTAAACCTTAAGTGGCTAGGAATGATGAGATAGAAGAGAGGGAAAACACTCTGTGTAGGCATTATTGGTTATCTTAGTTTGATAGCTTAAGTGAGAGAAAATCCTAATATTTCTCCTTAAGACCAGTAAATACACATATATACATCCTGGATTTTAATCTCTCTTTTTCATGTATTAAATGGTATATATGTGTTGCCAATTATTTTATTTTAACATCTACTTCGTGAAAATCTGAGAGTGGATTATAATTAGATTATGATTCCTGTTCAAGATCTATATACTTCACTTCCAAAACTCTTTACCAAGTGAAATGTACAATTTATCTATTTCTTCTTCAATGTCCTCTAGTTTAGTTTTGCTCACATTCTTTATTATTAAAAGTTTGTACCCTTTGACCAATATCTCCCCATTTCCCTTACTGCACCCTGACACCTTCAGCTCCTGGCAACTATTCTTCTACTCTTTGCTTCTAAGTCTTTAATATTTTTTAGATTTCACTTAGAGTGAAACCATATGGTATGTGTCCTTCTGTTAACTGACTTATTTTACTCAGTGTAAAGTCCTCCAGGTTGATTAATGTCACAAATGGCAGTATTTCCCTCTTTTTTATGACAGAAATATTTCATTTTCTTTATCTATTCATCTAGATGTACATTTATGTTGTTTTCATATATTGACTTTTGTGAATAATGCCACAATGAACATGGGAATGCAATTTTTTTTTCAAAATAGTGATCTTATTTCCTCTGGATATATACCCAGTAGTTGGACTACTGGATCATTTGGTAGTTCTATATTTAATTTTTTTGAGGAATCTCCGTAGTGCTTTTCCATAATGGCTGTGCCAATTTACATTCTCACCAACAGTTTCAGAGCTCCCTTTTTTGTACATTTTTGCCAACACTTGTTTTTCTCTTTTTGATAATAGTCAAAGAGAGATGAGGTGATATCTCATTGTGGTTTTTATTTGCTTTTCCCTGGTGATAGTTATGTTGAGCACCTTATATTTCTGTTGGCCATTTGGATTTCCTCTTTGGAAAAATGTCTATTTTTTTCTCTAAGAACTGGAACAAGACAAGGTGCCTACTCTCACCACTTCTATTTAACACAATAGTGGAAATTCTAGCCAGAGCAATTAGGCAAGGAAATGTAATAAAGGCATCCCAATCAGAAGAGAAGAAGTTACCTTGTTTCTGTTTGCAGATGACACAATCTTATATAAAGAAACCCTAACAACTCAACCAAAAAAAAATCTTAAAACCAATACATGAATTCAGTAAAGTTGCCGGATACAAAATCAACATACAAAATCAGTTACATTTCCATACACTAACAACAAACAATCTGAAAAAAGTTAAAAATTTCATTTACAATAGCATTAAAAAATACTTAGGGATAAATTCAATGAAGGTGTTGAAAAATCTGTACAGTAAAAACTACAAGATATTGATAAAAGAAATTGAAGATGACACAAATACATAAAAAGATACTTTTAAAAAATTATCAATTGGGACTATTAATATTGTTTAAATGTTCATACTACACGAAGTTAACTACAGGTTCAATGTAGACCCAATAAAAAATCCAATGGCATATTTTACACAAGTAGAAAAAAATCATAAAATTCTCTTAGAAACAGAAAACTGGCATAACCAAAAAAATTTTGAGCCAGAAGAACAATGGTAGAGATATTATACTCCCTGATAACAAATCACATAACAGCACTACAGTAATCAAAACAGTATGTTCCTGGCATAAAAATAGACATACAGAACAATATAACCTGACAGTGAGTTCAGAAATAAACCCAGGTATATACAGTCAACTGATCTTTGACAAGGGCACCAATATACAATGTGGCAATAATAGTCCCTTGAGTAAAAGGTGTTGGGAAAACTAGATAACCACATGCAAAAGGATGAAATTGGACACTTGCCTTATACTATACTAAAAACTAGGTGGAAATGGATTAAAGACTTAAATGTAAGACCTGAACCTAAAGAAAACAGAAAAAAATCCTTGATATTAGTTTTCAGTATAATATGACGTTTTCAGTATAATATCAAAAATATAGGAAACAAAAGTGAAAACAAATGAGTAGTACTGCGTCAAACTAAAAAGTTTCTGTAAACAAAGAAAACAATCAACAAAATGAAAAGGCAAGCTACAGAATGGTAGAAAATATTTGCAAATCATATATCTGATAAAGGGTTAATTTCCAAATATATAAAGAATTCACATTATTCGATAGCAAAAATAAATACATAAATATCTTAAGTGAAAAATAAGCAAAAATATGAATAACTATTGTTTTTAGATCCAATTCCTCTAAGTATCTGGTAATCTAGCAATGATTTGGTTTCTGAAGACGTTTGTCTTCATCATCTCTCCCTCAAGTCTGCTCCATTTAATCAGTGTTTCTTCATCCTTTTGCACAGTAAAATCTTTTTAATCAAAAAGTCATTTGGCTTAAGGCAGGAGACCAGGTAGAGGCAGAACTCTTGTTAATCTGTGTTTCTTAGAGAACCTGATACAAAATAATTTAAACCAATTCAGATCCACTGTCTCCTTTGTATAGACATGCCTATAAGGAAAGGTAAAAGCAATATTCTATCTGGCAGCTTTTTATTGATTCAGGAGTTACACAAGTGATACATATAGAGAGAAAATTAATATTTATTTAATATAGGTTGTTGATCATTGTTAGCTTTGGTGGCCATGAAAGTCTACCCTCAGACTTCTATCTTCAGAGATTGTGATGCTGCTATTGCCCTCTGAATTCCATCTCTATGTTTCACCGGTAAAATGTTTCTCATGGGCCACTTCTAGCCAATGCTTCAACATAGCAGTGATACTAAATCTGGCCCATTCCTAGAAGATGAATAATCAATCCCTCTGGTGGGCAAGTGTGGCTCAAGGAATCCACATGAACCCTGACGAACTGTTAGAATCACACTGCAGTCTAAGATTCTCCTACTTCATCTTCTTTCCCTTCCTCCCTTAGAAAGGTTAGGCCTGTGCAGTGGTCTTGACATATCTCCCAGCTGTCCTGGCATCATGCACTTCACTTCAGAAGCCTTTTTCTCTCTCATATATATATATATATTTTTTTAAACAAAAAAAAAAAAAATATATATATATATATATATTTTTTTTTAAACAAAGTCTCGCTCTGTCGCCAGTGGCGATCTTGGCTCACTGCATCCTCTGCCTCCTGGATTCAAGCAATTCTCCTGCCTCAGCCGCCTGAGTAGCTGAGACTACAGGCATGTGCCTCCACCCCCATTTAATTTTTTTGTATTTTTTTTTTAGTAGAGATGGGGTTTCAGCCTGTTGGCCAGGATGGTCTCGATCTCCTGACCTCGTGATCCACCCGCCTCGGCCTCCCAAAGTGCTGGGATTACAGGCGTGAGCTACCATGCCAGGCCAGCCTTTCTCCTAATATTTTTAATATCTAATCCCAACTTGACATCTGCTTTTTAGGAGACCTGGACTACCCCACTGGGCTTAACCGCTCTTTGTTGTCAACATCAACAATGACTTAGACAGCAAGCCAATAAAACAAAAAAAAAATCATAGAATTTTTCTTATGTGAAAAATGCTTGGCAGATACCTGGTTAAACATCACGGATACAGGGATTTACTTTTACTCCCTACTGAAATTCAGTGATAGTGGCAGTTGAATTAAAGACATAAATAATCATGTAAAACTACAGAGTAAGTGGTAAGGTAACAGCAGATCAGAGATGTCAACAAACGGAGTGGTAAATTAATTAACAGAGTGGGGAAATCAGAGGGAAATGAAGCTTCAGAAGAGATGCCAATGAAAAGCAGCCTCTGTCCTTCAGGCGCCCATCTATATAGGGAGTTAGTTATGTTACCTATTTTTAATATTAATTTGAGAAGAAAATGAGCTAATATATATCAATCACTTAGAACTTAGAATGTTTAGCTCACAGTAAGTAGTCAAGAAATATTAAGTGTTATTAAATTATCTAAACTATTATCATTCTATCAAATTAAAAATATTTTAATTTATCTGCCAGAATAACTGGCACTTTGGTAAAATACATAGTCTCAAAAATGATGAGAACACTGGTATGTCTCCAAATAATCTGTGGGATCTGCTACAAGTACAGAATCTTTGGTTTTAACCAGACCTGCTAAATCAGAGTCTCTGAGGTTTGAGTTTAGAATTTGCATTTTAACAAACTCCCTGAGGTTATCTTTGCATTTTGAATTATAAGAACTACTTCATCACAGAAACATTTTAAGCTGGTTAACATGTAATGTGAGTCACGTCATTATTTGGTTCCTAAAATGTCTAACCCTAACTCCCACATTGCTGACCTGTCTTACTGATTTTATACCAATAGCACTCTACAGCTTTTGTATTCTCCAAGCAAATGTCAGTTTCTTCCTGTTGTTGAACATGTTTTGTTTTTGTTTGTTTTTTTTTTTTGTTGTTGTTGTTGTTATTCTTCTGCTCAGGCTGCTTTACTCTCCAATACTCTTAAAAATTTAAAAAATTTAACTTTTACATTTCATAATCTGCTTCAGGTATTATTCCTTTGAGAAAGCTAGTCCAGTGTCTGAGAAACCCTGATAGAATTGATCATCCATGGTCCTCTTGCATGCTTGGTATGATAGCTGCTGGGGCTCTCACAGTGTATTATAATTTGTTTCTATCTCCCCTCCTGGACTTTGCATGCCTTAAGCTCAGGGCCTATATGATATCTTTCTCTTTAATACAAATCCCTAACAGGTATGAGACTTTAGTACAGTTTTTATAGAAATTTGATGAATGATTTCCTATAAATGGAATGTACTTGTATATTCACACAGTATTTTTCTTTTCTTTTTTTTTTTTTACAATTATCTCTGAAACACAATTTTGTTCATGGGGTACTCTTCATGACATATTCCCATTAGAAAGAAGGAACCTACATTGAAGAAGATATTGAGTTTTACTCATTAATTCACTGGTGTAAACAAGGACTGAGTCCAAATTAGAGATAAAAAATTAATATGGAGAATCAAATCAAACTATGCCATTTACGTTTTCTCTTTAAGAGTAAAGCTGCTTAAGATAGTTTTAAACTAAGCTTTAATTTTAAATATTTTTTACTTTTTTAAAAAATTAAATTTAAAAGGGAAAGTAAAGCATTTGTTTATTAATCTATCCTCTTAAACTCTTATACAAAGCACTTCCAACTTCTCTTTACAGAGAAAATATGCCAATGTCTCAGTTTAAGCACCAGATTAGCACCTGCTTTAAGAATTTGGGAGGCACTAATTGACCTGAAAACAGCCCAACATGAGCAGCAGGCATAGTGTTATGTTTGCTTCAAAATCTAAGTCTCATTGCCAACACTTACCTAATGTAAATATAAGAAAAACAAATTGAACAGTACTGTTGCTTGCACGTGCTAAAGCCATATTTCATTGAGCCAAATTCACCCCGGGGCATGTCATTCCTTGGAACCCAGATAAGCATCCAGTGAGATGGATTAACACTTTGAAGTCACTAGGGTATCATCAAGACTTTTCTGTTGATGATACTATGTCATCGGCACTGGGGAAAATCTGGCTCATCTTCTTAGTAGCAGAAATAATGTAATTTAAGTGAGCTGCCAGGATAATTAGAGCGGGTGAACAGTAGACAGAAATAATGCCCTAAAGAGACAAAAGAAAATGCTTAGATTCTTTTTCACTTTATTTCAGTGCTACTAAACACTAGTGGTATCTGTTTGCTTCTATGTCTCTGTCAATGCTGAGTAGCAAATTAGGCATTTGGGGAGACATTAACTCTTCCAAGCCACTTGGAGACTATTTAGTGCATTTCTGAGCAGTGCTAATTGACAGAATTGTAAATGAAAACATCAGAAAAATGTGATATTTATCTTTACTGAATTAGGAATTTTAGAAAACCACAGGAGAATGATTCATTGCCATCCCTTTTTAGAAAGAAATACAATTCCAGATTCCTGCCATATTTATTTATGTGATAACAACGAGTCAGTGGCTTCTTACACGGGTATTCAAACTAGGTATGTGCTAAAGTTTTTGTAGACTAGAGAGTTTACTTTCCCAAACCTTAATAGCTCAAATCCATAAGAATAAAATGTTAAAAGTATTTGGTTGGTTTTCTAAGGGCACTTGGCTGCAACCTATATGATTAATATAATTCTCAAGAATTCTTCTGTGTAAAATCAACCAAGTGCTTCTCAAAGTCTAGCCTATTAGTTTCTTCCTGAATGTATTTTATGCATTGTGTCCTCATACATTTTTGCTTGTGTCATTGCTCTTAATTGAAACGATCAGTCTCTCTTTCCTAATGAAAATTGGGCTCCACATTATGTCTTATGTTTAACTCATGGTGACTAGACCAAAAAATAATTTGAACAATGAGAAAATTTTAGAGCACTGAAACTATTCTGTATGATACAGTAAAGGTGGGTGAATTACACTATACATTTGTCAAAATCCATAGAACTATACAGCAAAAAGAATAAACCTTAATACATGCAAGTTTTAAAAAACTCAAGCTGGAGTATTCTGTAGAATGTGACAAAATAATCTAACTTTATTATAATTATATTAAAATCTTCACTGAAGAAGTAGGGGTAAGATGCTGATCTAAGTAACCTTGGAAATGAGTGGAGTCTATGGAATTAAAGGCCTGTAGAAATTGATATAAGTACTGTATTATATATATAGTTGATAAAGTTGTTTTCATTGGAGATATGGTTCAACAATTCTGGTATCACTGACACTGGACATCTTTACTAGAAATGAACAGTTAAATAAATGGATGGAAGATGGTAAGAATAATTATTCTCACGTACGGAGTGGGAGATTTCATATAATCAAAGAGGAAAGGCAAGATACATTGGTTTGAGATCATATTTAGGTCAGCATACAGAAGGTTAAATACAGAAATGTTTATAAATATGCATATACATACACATATATAATATACACACACACACACACACACACACACACACACACAGATTAGTATGCACAAACACATTCCCTTGCTGTATCTACTGAAAGGGCATAGAAACAATAGCAGTTGCATCTTCAGACTTCACTTCTAATTCTAGTTATTTTGCTATTTCTACCACATCTGTAGTTAAATCCTCCACTGAAATCTTGAACCCCTCAAAGTCATCAATAAAGTTGGAATCCACTTCATCCAAACTCTTATTTGTATTGATATTTTGACCTCTTCCCATATGTCAAGAATTTCCTCAATGGCATGTAGAATGGTAAATATTTTCTAGGAAATCTTCAGTTTACTTTGACCAAATCCATCAGAGGAATCACTACCTATGCCAGCTGTAGCTTTAAAAAAAAAAAAGTATTTTCTAAATAATAATACTTGAAAGTTGAAATGACCCCTTGACCATGGGCTGAAGAATGGATGTTTTTTTAGCAGGCATGAAACAACATAAATCTCCTTGTACATCTATATCAGAGTTGTTGGGGGACCAGGTGCATTGTCAACGAGCGGCAATATTTTGAAAGGTTTTTTTTTTTTCTTTCTGAGCAGTAGGTCTCAACAGTGAACTTAAAACGTTTAGTAAACCATATTGTAGAAAGATGTGTTGTCATCCAGGCTTTTTTGTTCCATTTATAGAGCACAGACAGCATAATTCTTAAGGGCCATAGTGTTTTCAAGGAAATGAGCATTGACTACAAGTTAAAGTCACCAGCTGCACTTCTCCAAAAAGTGTCAGCCTGTCCTTTAAAGCTTTGAAGATAGGCTTTGAATTATCTCTAGCTATACAATTTGTAGATAGCATAGTTTCCAATATAAGACTGTTTTGTTCACATTAAAAATCTATCGTTGAGTGTAGCCACCTAATCAATGATCTTAGTTAGATCTTCTAGATAAAGAGCTGCGACTTCTACATCAGCACTTGCTGCTTGACCTTGCATTTTTATGTTATGGAGATGGCTTTTTTCCTTAAACCTCATGAACTAACTTCTGTTAGCTTCAAAAAAAAATTTTTTTTTTTTTTTGAGATGGAGTTTCGGTCTTGTTACCCAGGTTGGAGTGCAATAGTGCGATCTCGGCTCACTGCAACCTCCACCTCCCGGGTTCAAGCGATTCTCCTGCCTCAGCTCCCCAAGTAGCTGGGATTATAGGCATCCGCCACCACACCCAGCTAATTTTTTGTATTTTTAGTAGAGACGGGGTTTCACCATGTTGGCCAGACTGGTATTGAACTCCTGATCTCAGGTGATCCGCCCGCCTCCGCTTCCCAAAATGCTGGGATTACAGGCGTGAGCCACTGCACCTGGCCTAGTTTCAAAATTTTATTTTGCAGCTTCCTCACCTCTCTCAGCCTTCATAGAATTGAAGAGTTAAAATCTTGTTCTGTTTTAGGGTTTTGCGTAAGGGAATGTTGTGGCTGGTTTGATCTTCCATCTAGACCACTAAAACATTCTTCATATTATCAATAAGTTTGTTTGACTTGTTATCATCTTGTGTTCAATGGAGTAGCACTTTTAGTTTCCTTTAATAACTTTGTGTTTTGCATTTATAACTTGGCTAACTGGTGCAAGAATCATAGTTTTCAGCCTATCTTAGCTTTCAATATGCCTTTCTCTAATCTTAATCATTTCTAGTTATTGTTTTAAAGATAGTGGTGTGTGACTTTTCATTTGAACACTTAAAATCCATTATAGGGTCACTAATTGGGCTAATTTCTATATAGCTGTGTCTTAGAGAATAGGGTAGCCCAAGGCGAGGAATAGAGATTGGGAAATGGCTAGTCACTGGAGCAGTAAGAACACACCTAGCATTTATTGATTATGTTGCCATCTTATATAAGCATGGTTCCTGGTGCCACAAAACAATTACAATAGTAATATCAAGGATCACTGATCACAGATCACCACAACAGATATAATGATAATAAATTTTTTTTTCTGAAATAGTTATTAAGTCAATGTATGTATTTGTTAATTGTGACAATTTATAAGTTTGATTTCTGATAATTAAATCCTCTTGTTTGCCTCAAACCTACAATTTGCAAAAAACATAGTATCTGTGAAGTGCAATGAAGTGAAGCCCAATAAAACAAGATTTGTCTTGTACACTTGGGAGAACAGATTACTGATTACTACTTTCGTAATAATTGTTTTTTCCTTCAGGAAAAATCAAGTGGATTTCAAATTTTGGTTTTGAAATATTCTAAATGTCTTTTATTAAAAGAAAATATGAAATAGAAAAATTAAAATTTTTGATCTCAATTAAAATATTTAAAGTGTAATACTCTATGAATTTGCTGGACTGCCATATCAGAATACTATAAATTGGGTGTCTTAAACTACAGAATATTTTTTCTTGCAATTCTGGAAGCTAGACGTCTACAATCAAAATGCCAACAGGGTGGGTTTCTGCTGAGGCCTCCTTTTGGCTTGAAGATGATTGTCTTCTCCCTATGTCCTCACATGATCTTTCCTCTGTGCCCACACATCCATGGTGTCTCTTCCTCGTCATATTAGAACAGTCATTCTAATTAGGGCCCATCCCAATAGCTTTGTTTTAAGTTAATGATCTCTTTAAAGGGCAAATCAGTCAAATTCTAAGGTACTAGAGGTTACGGCTTCAACATATGAGCTTTCAGGGATACAATTCAGTCCATAACCCTTACATTTTAAGCAAACACTTCAAAGTTAAATAAGAATGATTATCAGAAATCAAACATAAATTTTTGAAATAAACAAATAGGTACATTGACTCAATAATTATTTCAGAACCTATTTCTACTGAGTTTGATATTAATCTTGCAGAAAAAATGAAACAAATGGGGTATTAATTTCACCTTCAGGGTGCTTTCTGAATTGGGGAAGAAATGGACATAGAGACCAGTATAACAGTAGGATGTAGGTTGTTTTTAAAAATGACTATGCAAACTCAAGTCATAAAGATTCCAGCTCACAGTATCAGAAGTAATTTGGGAGAGGTAAGAATGTTAGAGTTGATTTTTAAAGATGATTAAGACACAAAAACTGCGTTAAATTTTGTAACCTATTTGTATAACTTATCTTAATTTGTACTGCTTGACATTGTGCAAAGAAATAAAATTGCTGGGTGAGAGAGCGAGACTCCGTCTCAAAAAAAAAAAAAAAAAAAAGAAATTAAATTAGTCTGCAACATTTGAACTTAACTAGGCTGTGTTAAATAATGTACCAGACCAAGAAATTTAAGTGATTTCTTCATTGGTTCCAGCTATGCTATTAAGTGCTATGTAACCTTAAGAGAGTCACTTAACTTCTCTGGGCCTTGCTCTCCTCATCTGTAAAATATGGCATTAAATTAGATGAACTATGAGATTCTAATTAGTTCCTTACTGGATGATTACTGTTTATCACCTTTGACAAGTCTGAATAGCCACAGAAGTTTTTATTAACTTTCCCAAATTCTCCAAAGAATAAAATTTATATAGAAAAATTAATCCCGGAGTCTATTTAATTCCTGATTAATGCAATTTTGTTCTAAAAAACAGTCATGAAATGAGAAAACAATATTCAAAAATTTAATAAATATTTTAGAGGTAGTAGAATGTACGGCAATATAGACAAAAGGAATCTCAGAGATCAGCTATTTTATTTTTTAAGTCAGTATCCTAATTCCATAAACTGAAAAAGGCAAGACATATACTAAAATGTGAAATTTTGAAATCCTTACATTTTGTAAACTCCCTAACTTGTGACTTAGTTTTACTTTCCATGATAACAGTTTGTTTTATTATAACTAATTCCTGAAATCTAGTTAAAGAATAGGTAACACATGGCTAGTTTTAGAAACTGAGACTCTCAACATTGCATTACAGTTGTAAAAAGCTACAGGAATATCCTTGGTTCTTAGGATCCTGGAATAAAAGAATAAAAATCAGAAATATCATTTCATATAGGGGACAGATAATACAATAGATATGGCTGAAATAATAAATTAGTGAGTTGGACTATAAGGTAAAGATAGCACCAGCAAGGAATAAAGAAATGGCAAAATATGTGTGTCTGCATGTGCACGTGTGTGGAATGCATCTTCATGGGAAACAGAGATAGAGACCTATATTTTAGTTCTTGACATTACGGCAAGTTAACAAGTGCTACTGTCTCCATTCTCTGTACCCAATACCATAATTCCAATGCCATAGAAAATGATAATTGAGAGAAGAAAGTGAGAATGACTTCGATATGTTGCAGGGTAAGAGAGTGTTGAGTAACCACAAACCAGAGTGGAAGCCTGAGCAGCATCACATTGGTGTACAGTTCAGGTGTACCTTGCCTGGAATGGTCATTATCTTGTCTTTTTATCAAGTGGGAAAATGTATATTTTCAGATCACAAATGTAAGAACAGTATTTTGTAAGAGCATAAACACCAAGTTCTTCTCCATCTCCTCCCGCATTTTTTTTGCCTAAGGGATTACAGCTGATGGAGAAAGTTCTTAGAAATATCAGTATCCCAAATGTAGGACCATAGGTTTTCTAAGATCCTACTGGTTTCTGCCCTAAGACCACTCCTTACACAACACTTGAGAAACAGAAGCTGTTGCTTAGTCTTTGAGTTCCTCACCCTGAGTAGACAGTAACAACCAAGATATCTAATATACCTATGCCAATATCTGAGAACGATTTCTTTAAGAATTTAGAAGAGAAACCTAATACTGTATTCTAAGCAAGATAGATAGATCTATCTCTTTCTTTATCATCTCTATCTGTCTCTATCTCCCTCTATGTTAATTCAGAGAGTCTGAGAATTTAAAATAATTATGGTAAATACTAAACAGATAAAGGAAAATATATTAGTAACAAAAACATAACAAGCAATTTTAAGAAATAATATATTGGAAATGTTGAGTATAAAAATATTAAACATGAAATAAAGCTTCCAAGAGCTGTAATATAGAGCAGAATGAATATAGTAATGAAAAATAAATGAATGAGTAGGCTGTAAGAAGTTGAGCAATACATCAAGTAAGAAGAAAAATACGATTTTTTTACAGCAGAATTTGTAAGGAGAGAACTAAAAAACAAGATTTAATTTCGATTTCAGAAAAAGATCAAAATGAAAGGGAAAAATATGAAAAAAATACCTAAAACTCTTCTAAAATTAAAGAAAGATAATTTTTAGATTGAAAAATACTAGACGGGATAGATAAGGAATGAGCCCACAACTGAGCATATTTCATTAAAACTTCATGATGTAAAAATCACATCTAAAATATTTTTGAAAAAAAACAAGAACCCATCATTTACAGTAGAACTGAGTTTAGATTAACAAATGACTTCAACATTATCAATGACAAGTGGGGAAACACTGAAGTAAAATCTTCAAACTGCCAATGAACTGAATCTCAACCCTATATTTTATAGTCGGTAAAAGTCTTTTAATTGAAAATGGAAATTATTCTGAGAAAGCCAAGGTCTCACAATGTTTAATTTATTATCTGCTTTGAAAAATTCTTATATAGAGTAATTGTATAATTTATTATCTAAACTGTGACACTTCTTAGCATGGCTAAATGCTGAATAATGATCAACTAAAGAATATCTATAATTGTGCTTATCAATCTAGGTAAACTAGGTCTGCCCCATGCAAACTCAGACAAATGATCACACTACTCTTGGAATAGATACACTTTCAAGAAGAAAAAATTCAGGTGAAGGTCTATATAAAGAAAAATAATATGTGGTAGCTAAGGAAAATATTGTTTTTACAAAATTTTACATAACATATTCAAAATTTCAGACTTGAAATTCTACATAATAGCAGTGCAACAGTAATGATGGTAGATAGAGGAGGCAAGGGAAGCTGAAGGATAGTGAGAGTGCTTTTGAGGATAGTGCTTAGGATATCTACATCCAATTTAATAAATTTAATTAATAAAGAAATATAAACATAAGACAGAGTTTCAGTGAGCTAGGGGAACTGTAACAACAATTACAACAGAATTCATGATCTTCCAATCAACAGAATAGTAAACCTTTTCAATAAAAGCCAGGAAAGAAAATAAAAACAAGATAGTATATATAGAAAACATTAATAAAAGGAAAAATATGTTATATCACATTTATTACAATAAATATGAGATATACCATCAAATCAAGAAAGTCATCTATCAACGAGTTGTCCACAAGAAACATAATAAAGCAAATCGGGAAAACTAAGCTTATTCAGAGAAGCATAAACAAAAAAAGGAGTTATCTATTTTAAAATTAAACAATATAGAATGAGGCATTGACATAAAGATAAATAAATTTTATATATAGATAAAAAGTTTAACTACCATGAATATACACATTTAATACACACACACACACACACACACACACACACTCTTTCACCTCAGAATATATAATGCAACAACTGAATAAAATAAAAGGAGAAATATATAAACAGTAGTTGAAAGTTTAACAAATCTTCAGAAATTAATATCAGGCAAAAATATTGAAGATTTTATTAGTTGAATTAAATTAAGTCAACTAGAATTTTACAACTGAAAGAAAAGAAATCTTTTCAAAGGCATGTGGAACATCATATTAAGCCCCAAAAAAGTTTTAATATATTTCAAATAAATCCAATTCATGCACTTTAGGTTTATTTTATTGTATTGTAGCTTTTTGACACAAGAACTTTGTATCAGTTCATTGTCACACTGCTATAAAGACATACCCAAGACTGGATAATTTATAAAGGAATAAAGGAAAGGGGTCTAATTGACTCACAGTTCTGCATAGCTGGGGAGGCCTCAGGAAACTTACAATTATGGCGGAAGGCAAGAGAGAAACAAAGGCACATCTTATGTGGTAGCAGGCAAGAGAGAGAGTGAATGAGCGAAGGGGGAAGAGCCCCTTATAAAACCATAGATCTTGTCAGAACTCACTCACTACTATGAGAACAGCATGGGAGAAATAGACCCCATGATCCAACCACCTACTGCTAGGTCCTGCTCTTCACATGTGGGGATTATGGGGATTAAAATTCGAGATGAGATTTGGGGGGTGGGGCACAGAGCCAAATCATATTATTCTGCCCTGGCCCCTCCCAAATCTCATGTGTTTTCACATTTCAAAATCAATAATGCCTTCCCAATAGTCCCCCAAAGTCTTAACTCATTCTGGCATTAACTCAAAAGTCCACAGTCCAAAGTCTCATCTGAGCAAAGGCAAGTCCCTTCTGCCTATGAGCCTGTAAAATCAAAAATAAGTTAGTTACTTCAGGTGTTGGGTAAATACATTCAATCAAATGAGAGACATTGGCCAAAACAAAGAGGCTAAAGGCCCCATGCAAGTCTGAAACCAGGCAGGGCAGTCATTAAATCTTAAATGTCCAAAATGATCTCCTTTGACTCCATGTCCCACATCCAGGTCACACTGATGCAATAGGTGGGCTCCCACAGTCTTGAGTAGTTCTGCCCCTGTGGCTTTTACAGGCATATGGTTCAAACTGTCGGTGAATCTACCATTCTGGGGTCTGCAGGACAGTGGCATTCTTCTCCCAGAATCACCAGGCAGTAGCCCAGTGGGGACTCTGTGTGGGGGCTCCAATCCCAAATTTCCCTTTGTCACTTCCCTAGCAGAGGTTCTCCATGAGGGCTCTGCTCCTGCAGCAAACTTCTGCCTGGATATTCAGGCCTTTCCGTACATCCTTTGAAATCTAGGCAGAGGTTCCCAAACCTCAATTCTTCACTTCTGTGTACCCACAGGCCTAACAGCACATGGAAGCCACCAAGGCTTGGGGCTTGCACCCTCTGAAGCAACGGCCTGAGCTGTAAGTTAGCCCATTTTAGCCACAGCTGGAGCTGGAGTGGCAGCAACTGGGACACAAGGTGCCAAGTCCCAAGGCTGCACAGAGCAGCAGTGGGGTGGGTAGGTGGGGCCCTGAGTGCAGCTCACGGGACCATTTTTTTCCTCATAGGCCTCTGGGCCTGCAATGGGAAGGCTGCTGTGAAGGTCTCTGACATACCTTGAAGACACTTTCCCCATTGTGTGGTTGACAAAGATTTGGCTCCTCATTACTTATGCAAATTTCTGCAGCCAGCTTGAATTTCTCCCCAGAAAAGAGGCTTTTGTTTTTTACTACATGGCCAGGCTGCAAATTTTCCAAACTTTTACTCTCTGCTTTCCAAACTTTTACTCTCTCCCTTCAAATATAAGTCCCAATTTCAGATAATCTCTTTCAAGTTCAAAGTTCCACAGATCTTTAGGGCAGGGGAAAAATGCCACCAGTCTCTTTACTAAAACATAGCAAGAGTGACCTTTATTCCAGTTCCCCATTTCCATCTGAGACCACCTCATCTTGGACTTTGCTGTCCATATCACTATAAGTATTTTGGTCAAAACCAGTCAATAAGTCTCTAGGAAGCTCCAAACATTCCCACATCTTTCTATCTTCTTCTGAGCCTTCCAAACTCTTCCAACCTCCGCCTGTACAGAGTTCCAAAATCATTTCCACATTTTCTGGTATCTTTATAGCACAGCCCCACTCCCAGTATCAATTTACAGTATTAGTCCATTCTCATGCTGCTATAAAGAGATATCCAAGACTGGGTAATTTATAAAGGAAAGAAGTTTGATTCACTCACAGTTCCACATGGCTGGAGAGTTCTTAGGAATTATAATCATGGCAGAAGGCGAGAGAGAATTAACAGAACATCTTACATGGTGGCAGGCAAGACAGAGCAACGAGCCAAGGAGGAAGAGTCCCGTATAAAACCACAAGCTCTTGTGAAAACTCTCACTATCATTAGAACAGCGTGGGATAAACTGCCCCCGTGTTCAATCACCTTTCACCAGGTCTCAACCTTGACACCCGGGGATTATAGGGATTATAATTTGAGATGAGATTTGGGTGGGGACACAGAGCCAAACCATATCAGCCTTGCTTTGCCACCTAGAATACAATGCAGTGGTGTGATCACAGCTCACTGAAGCCTCAACGACCTCAAACTCCTCTGCTCAAGTGATCCTCCTGTCCCACCTTCCTGACTAGTTGGGGCCACAGGTGCATGCCACTACAACTAGCTAATTTTTTTTGGGGGGGCGGGTAGAGACAGAGTCTAGCTATGTTGCTCAGGCTGGTCTCGAATGCCTGTGCTCAGGCAATCTTCCCACCTCAGCCTCCAAAAGTGATTGGGATTACAGAAGTGAGCCACCACCCTTGGCCTATTTTAGGTTCAGAATATAAAGCAATAAAATGCAATCAATAAGGAAAGGACAACCAGTTGGATTGATGGGTAGAGATATATATTTATATAAACCTGTAGTTCAAATATAATTTTGTTACATTTAATTTTAGAAAACTATGTATATAAAATATATATATATATCCACCACCACCCCATACACACATATATATATACACAAAAAAATCCCCCAAAAGTTATTCTCAGTTAATTATTGTTCTAATGCATGATTTTATTAACTTTATATAGCATTTTCTTTTATAAATGTGAATTTTAAATCTAATGCCTTCTTACCAGATATTATGCAATTTGCCATTTTTGTGTATTATAATTACTAAAAAATATGCTTATATACAAAGCTCTCTAAATATTTCTAATTTTTTACTGATGATAATATTCTTGAAGAAATTACCCCTGAATTTTACATGAGCTATTGCTTTTATATTCATAAGACTTTCACAACAAAAATCATTTATACAAATTTAGAACTCTTTCATCATTGTTTGTTTGTTTGTTTATTTATTTAATGAGACAGAGTTTCACTCTTGTCGCCCAGGCAGTAGTACAGTGGCGCGATCTTGGCTCACTACAACCTCCACTTCCAAGGTTCAAGCAATTCTCCTGCATCAGCCTCCTGAGTTGTTGGAATTACAGGAGTGCACCACCACACCCAGCAAATTTTGTATTTTTAGTAGAAATGGGGTTTCATCATGTTGGCCAGGCTTGTCTTGAACTCCTGACCTCAGGTGATCTGCCCGCCTTGACCTCCCAAAGTGCTGGGATTACAGGCATGAGCCACCACGCCTGGCCATCATTGTTTCTTAAGGTCAAAAATGACCTTTTGTTGCCTAATACAACAGACATTTTCCCCTCTTATCTAAATTTGAATTCTTAGAGCATTGCAAGCAATTAACTGTTGAAACATGGTCTTCCAGTTTTAATGATATTTTATGAGTGTACTTTTCTCAGACAATAAAGGTGATTATTTGTTCATCTATTTTCTAACTCCTCTCCACCCTACTTGATGTCTAACTATCAAAATGCCTCAGGGCTCTCACTATACCTCTTCCCATCCCCATGTATATGGTATAGATATATGCTCATGATTACTAAAAGCACTTCCAGAGCCATTCTGTTAATTCCGAATTCATCTATAAGCTTTGCTTGATTCAACTACTTTGATGTCTTTGAGCTGTTTCAAATTTAATATGTCTGTTATGAACTGAATGTTTACTTTCTAAACTTCATATGTTGAAGCCCTACCTCCCAGTATAACAGCATTCGGATGTGGGGCTTTTGGGAGGTAATTAGAATTATACGAGGACATGAGGCTAGTACTTTCATAATGAGATTAATGCTCTTACAAGAAAAGACCAGAGAGTGTGTGCTCTCTCTCTCCGTCACTCATACTATATATATGAAGAAGAGTTCATGTGTGCTCACAGAGAGATGGTAGTCACATATGAGCTGTGAAGCTGGTTTACAGTGTAGTGACTGCCAACTTCTTTCAGTCCAGTGGGACAAAAGATTCATGCACAAAACATGTTACATGAAGTGGTTTATTATTTACAGATAGGCAGCAAAGGAAAATGAGAATTCATTTTGAGCTAGTTCCTCAAGACTCAGCAAGCTTCCTGGGGTGGATAAAGTCTTGCCTGCACATGTCCTACGTGCACCATAGCTGAGGGAGTCTAGGGAGTAGCATGCCCTGGGGTTTATACATCAGGTGTCACAGAAAATGCTGGGCAAATGTGCTGTTCCGGCCATTCTCTTTCCTATATCAGGAAATTAAGTTCCAAGCGTATTCTATAGTTATTCTTTAGAACAACAAATTAGAAAGTGGAGGAGAACTGGGTTGGTTCAATGCCACCCAGAGGATTGTCGTGAAAAAGCCAAGAGAAGAGGCCTGATGATAAAACCTACATTGTGGTTTGATCTTAGACATCTCAGTCTCCAGAATGGTTAGAAATAATTTTCTGTTGTTTAAGCCACCCAGTCTATGATATTTTGTGTTATGGTCGTCTAAGCTAGGTAAAACAATCTCTAAAATAATGTTCTTGATTTTTACTTCAGAGTGGTTCACCAGTATATTCTTAGTAAAGAGCAATAAAATCTACCCAGATACCAAAGTCAAGAATAACAGTCATGGTTTCCTCCACCCTCTGACCACTCACAACCAATTCAGCAGAAAACCTTGTCCTTTCTGACTCTGCAATATACTGATTCATTCTCCTTCTCTCCATCTCTGCTGATACCACTCTTGTCCAAGTCACAATTAATTCTTGGACTGTTGCCATGGACTTTTAACTGCTTTCTCCAGTGACTTTCCAATACATTCTTTACTGTGGAGTGATTTTTTTAAATGTAATTTACGTCATGTTGGTCACACCCTTTAAATCTTGTAATAGCTTTCCATTAGATTTTGAATACAATCTAAACTCCTTAACATGGCCTGGTGATCCAGGTCCAGCTTCTCTCTCCAACTTCATCTCTGAATACTTGCCCTTCCTCACTCAGCTCCAGTTACAACATTCTTTATATGTTTCTAGAACACGCTAGTCCATCTAAAGCACCAATGTCTTGCCCTGGCTACTCACTTCCTTTACCTGGAGTAGTCTTCTAGACTTTTGCCTATTCTTTTCTTTACTTTTGGAGATATAAACGTAAATAATCCTATGATGGCAAATATTTTCTGTGACCCCCTAGTGGAACCTTGCTTCCTTATCAATATAATTGGCCATTGCTTCATCTAGTTTTTTATTTGTTTTGAATATTCTCTTTTAATTTATACAATTTTTTGTTTCTCTAATTAGAGCATAAGGATAAGAGAGTAGAGCTTGTGTTTACCTTGCTCTTCTCTGTGAATGGGAATTTACTATTTATTATGGTGTCTGGCCAAGAGCATTGGCTTAAATTATTACATACAATAACTACGTGAGGGAATTTTTGTAGACCTTAACCAACAGTGAGTATTCACAAAAGACTTCTATTATAAAATCCATATATACAGAAATTTAAAAAAATCCCTAGACAAAGTGAAAATTAAAACAAAACTTACCGAAATATATGAGGCACAGCAAAAGTGATTCTAGGAAGGAAGTTTACAGCAATAACCACCCACATTAAAATGAATAAATATATCAAATAAATAATCAAACTCTATACATCAAGGAACTAGAAAAAGAAGAAACTAGGACCAAGTCAGCAGAAGAGAAATACTAAAGATTACAGCAGAAATAAATAAATAATAGGACAACAGAAAAATGAGCAAAATTACTGTTTTTTTAAAAAAAAAAGACAAATTCTTTAATAAAGAAAGAAGACAAAAGGAAATAAAAACAGAAATGAAAGACAATACGTTACAACAGATGTCTCAGATATAATAAGGACCAGAAGGACCTATTAGGAACAATTATATCTCAAAAAAGTTGACAAAATAGAATGGATGGATAAATTTCTAGAAACGTACAATATACTAAAACTGAATGAAGAATAAATTGAAGGCCTGAACAAAGCAAATAAGAGACGATGAAATGATTAAGCAAAAATCTCCAAATAAAGAAAACTTCAAGACTCAATGGCTAGATGGGTAAATTCTATCTAACATTCAAAGAATAATTGATACTAATTCTTCTTAAACACTCCCCCAAAACAGCAAAGGGAACACATTCAAACTCATTTTGTGAGGTCATTAGTACCCATCCCAAAGCTAGAGAAAGACTCCACAAGAAAGGAAAGCAGACCATTATGAATAACTAACATTCATACAAATATCCACAACATAATGCTAGCAAACCAAATGCAACAGCACATTAAAGGGATTATACACCATGACCAAGTGGGATTTATTTCTAGGATGCAGAAAGGTTCCGCATACACAAATCAGTCAATCTAATGGGCCACATTAACATAATGAAACATAAAAATGACATTATTATCTTAGTAGATTTATAAAAGGCATTTGACAAAATTCTATGTATATTCACCAAACTCTCAACAAAATAGGTATAGAAGGAACTTATTTCAATGCAATAAAGACCATATATGAAAAGCCCAGTGTTAAAATCATAAACAACTTTGGGAAAAATTGAGAGCTTTTCTTCTGCAATCTTGTACAAGGCAAGAATATACATTCTCACCACTTCTATTGCAGATAGTACTGTAAGTCTTAGCCAGAGAAAGACAGAAAAAAAATACATAAAAGGCACCCAAATTGGAAAGGAAGAATTAAAATTATCTCTCTCAGATGACATGAGTATATATGTAGGAAAATCCTAAATAGTCAACAACAATTAATGTTAGAACTAATAAAAAAATCCAGTTAAGTTGCAGCATACAAATTAAACATACAAAATTTAGCTATGTTTCTATACACAAACAATGAGCTATCAAAATATACCACGGACAATAGCAACAAAAATAACAAAATACTTAGAAATCAGCTTAACCAAAGAGGTGAAATATTTATACACTGAAAATTATAATACATTGTTGAAGGAAACTAAAGAAGACTCACATAAATGGAAAGACATCCTCTGTAAATGGTTTAGAAGAGAATTAATACTTTAAAAATGTTTTAGTATGCATACTGATCTACAGATTTAATGCAATTCCGATCAGAATTCCAATAACATTATTTCCAGAAATAGAAAAACATCTAAAAAAACAAGACCCCAAATACCCGAAGTAACCTTGAACAAAACAAAGCTGGAGACACCACACATCCTTATTTCAAAATACAATACAAAACTACAATAATCAGAATAAGGGAGGAGACCACCCCTCATATTGTCTTATGCCCAATTTCTGCTTCCAAAGAAAGAAGAAGTAAAAACTAAAAGGCAAAAATGAAATCCACAGGCAGACAGCCCGGCGCCACGCCCTGGGCCTGGTTAAAGATCGACCCCTGACCTAACCGGTTATGTTATCCATATATTCCAGACATTGCATGGAAAAGCACTGTGAAAATCTCTGTCCTGTTCTGTTCCATTCTGATTACTGGTGCGTGCAGCCCCCGGTCACATACCCCCTGCTTGCTCAATCAATCATGATTCTCTCACACGGACCCCCTTAGAATTGTAAGCCCTTAAAAGGGACAAGAATTGCTCACTCGGGAGCTCGCTTGTTGGAGACATGAGTCTTGCCGAAGCTCCCGGCCAAATAAAGCCCTTCCTTCTTTAACTCAGTGTCTAAGGGGTTTTGTCTGCAGCTTGTCCTGCTACAAAAACAGTAAAATACTGGCAAAAAATGGACATCTAGGTCAATGGAACATAACAGAGTCCAGAAATAAATCCATATATTTATAGTCAACTATCTCTTGTAAAGGGTGCTAAACACACAAAGGGAAAAGGATAGTCTCTTAAATAAAAGGTCCTGGGAAAACTGGATATTCACATGCAAAATAATGAAACTGGACCCTTATCTCACACCATATAAGAAAATCAATTCAAGGTGAATTAAAGACTTAAGTGTAAGACCTTAATTCATAAAACTGCTAAAAGAGGGCTGGGCATGGTGGCTCATGCCTGTAATCCCAGCACTTCAAGGGGGGAAGGCTGATGGATCACTTGAGCCCAGGAGATTGAGACCAGCCTGGGAAACGGGTGAAACCCCGTCTCTACCAAAAATACAAAAAATTAGCCACACATGGTGGTGCACACCTGTAGTCCCAACTAGGAGGCTGAGGCAGGAGGATCATTTGAACCATGAAGGTCAAGGCTGCAATAAGCCAAGATCTCCCCATTGTCCTCTAGCCTGGGAAACACAGTGTGACTCTGCCTCAGAGAAAACAAAAGAAAGAAAACATAGGAAAATGCATCTTGACATTAGTCTCGGTATTTATTTTTGAATATGAGGCCAAAAGTACAGGCAACAAAAGCAAAAATAGACAAGGGGGATTGATTCAAATAAAAACTTTTTACAAAGCAAATAAAACAATCAACAGAGTAAAAAGGCAACTCATGGAATGGGAGAAAATGTTTGTAAACTATATATCTGATAGGGGTTAATATCCCAAATATATAAGTAACACAAAGAATTCAATAGCAAATAAAGCAATAACCTGATTAAAAATTGATCTAAGGATCTGGATAGATATTTCTTAAAAGAAGACACACAATCGTCAACAGGTTTTTGAAGAAGTGCTCAACATCACTAATCATCAGGGAAATGTAAATCTAAACTACAATGAGATATCGCCTCACACCTTTTAAAATGGCTATTATTAAAAGGCAAAGTAAGTGTTGGTGGGTGAGAATGGGGAGAAGAGGGAACCCTTTCACACTCTTGGTAGGAAAGAAAATCGATACAGCCATTATAAAAAATAATATGAAGTTTCCTAAAAAATTTTAAAATAGAACTACCATATGATCCAGCAACCACACTTCCGGATGAATATACAAAATAAAATAATTCATCATCTCTGAGATATTTGTGCACCCTCATGTTTATTACAGCATTAGTCTAAATATCTAAGACATGGAAACAGGTAAATGTCCATCAATGGATGAGTAGACAAATAAAGTGTGGTCTATATGCATATTCAATGGAATGTTAATCAGAGTTTAATAAAAGAAAATCCTGCCATTTGTGACTGAATAGATGAAACTGGAGGACATTAGTCAAAACCAAATAATCCAGACACAGAAAAGCAAATACCGCATGACTGCAATTATGTGTGGAATCTAAAATAGTTGAACTCATAAAAGCACACAGTAGAATGGTGATTGCCAGCAGATAATGATTGGGGGAACCGGGGACATGTTAGTCAAAGGTACAAATTTCTGTTATTCAAGATGAATAAATTCTGGAGATCTAATGTACAGGATGATGACTACAGCTAATAATGTTGTATTGTATACTGGAATTTTGATAAGTGAGTAGATCTTAACTGTTCTCATCACACACCAAAAACAATGGTAACTTTGTGAGGTGATGGATATATTAACCAGCTTAATGATGGAGATCATTTCATAATGCATACATGTATCTAACATAAAGTTGTACATCTTAAATACATTTTTTATTTGCCAATACCCCAAAAAAGTTGAAAAAAATAATATTTGTTAATGACAATCCCTATAATTTGGATGAGAAAAATAAAAGTGGCATTTTTATTTTTATTCCAATTGCACTTAAATGTTTTATTTACAAATTGATCATTGATATCTCTCAGTTGCTCAGAGGTCTATATATTTTTTAAGGCTCTGTTAGTTATTTTTATTTTTATGCTGATAGGAAGTCTCATGATATTAATCTAATAATATAATAGTGTACATATAATGAACATTATGCTGAAATTTTCCATGTATATTTTACTATTCCTTCAAAACAAGTCACTGAATTTGATATTATGATTTTCCTCATTTTGTAGATGAGCAAACTGGAAACTAAGACAGGTTAAACCCCATGCCCAAGGTTACATAGCTAGTTTATAGACATACTTTACACTTAGATAGCTGCCTCTCAGAAAAGTCTACTAAACTCACTGCCTATAAAATGCATCAACACAATCTAAATATTATGTGCTAGAAACCACTAGTGCTGGTGTTATCAATATGCAAGCTCTCCTGTTCCTGCAAAAGCTACTATAGGTATTTTCCACCTCTCTTGAAGCTATTTGGAACATGAAGCTGTTTTCCAAATATGAATTGTGACGGAAAACAATGTCAATTAATTTGAAGAGGTTGTTAAGAAAATTTTCTATCCAATTGTTATCTATACCTGTAGGCTAAAAACTGAGGCAAAAGAAGGCTTATGAAACCACAAGGTTGAAGGATAATGGGTTCATGAATATCTGCATTCAATGGAGGCACCCCACACACACCTACTTTGAGCAGACACCACCCACACACCTACTTTGAGCAGAGAATGGAATAAATTTGGTACTAAGCCACAATGTTTCTGTGTTTATTTTAGAAGCTAAACCACCTAATTAAAAGTTGACATGTTGTAGTTTCTCCTCTGTTTTCAGGGCACACTTAACATTTTGTTCAACAGTGTTTGAAGGATAAAAATGATTCCTGCCTACGTGAAAAAAATCGTTCCATCATCATTTCCTCTGTTTTATGCTTTGAAATAAAAATTCTTCCCAACAGCAATAGTCATTTTCCTCATCTTTCTCAAGATATAACTTTTACTTTTAGGTCTTTAAATAATTCAATATTAAGGTATGAATTACTTTAAGATAAATCAACTTTTAAAAGAAAATTCAACAATGTTTTTCTTTAGACCATTTATTGAATCTTTATTTCAATAACCTTGGATTTGAATGTCACTTTTATGAAAACAAAATTATTGAAAAGTTTAGCCTTGTCTTTGTATTCTAGTCTATTGAGCTGTCTATAAATTCTTGCATCAATGTTATGCTATTTTATTTAACATATTTCTAATATACATTTTATTATTTATTTTTTAAATGCTGACAGTCTCATTCACTTATTTTTCTATACAAAGCTTAAATCTGTTTCTGAATATTTACAAAAACTCTCGGTTTAGAAATTTTAATTAAATTCTCAGTTAATTTAGAAAACAAAACAACCACAACAAAAACCTCTGTGTTGCAGATGTGATATAAGTCACATCTTTTTTCATTTGTTCAAATGTTTTATTACCATAAAAATTTTATATTTACTTATTATTAATATTGCTTTTGTGTTTCCAAATTCTCTATTTATTTCCTTGGATTTTTCCAGTAAAGAAATATGGCAATTGGAAGTACAATGTCTCCTTTTCTAGAGGTAGTTCATCTTGTAATACTTGTATTTGTGGTATATTTATGGTAATAATTCTTGCTGTGTCTCATAAATAATTGTTTCAGTATGGAAATAACAGCGTATAATCATTTCCTCTCCAAGCTTCATAGGTGGTTCTCCATTTTTTCTTTACTTAATTTTTTTTTCTTTTTTTGAGATGGAGTTTCTCTCTTGTTGCCCAGGCTGGAGTTGCAGTGGTACAATCTCGGCTCACTGCAACCTCTGTCTTCTTCTCTCAAGCAATTATCCTGTCTCAGCCTCCTGAGTAGCTGGGATTAGAGGCGCCTGCCACCATGCTCGGCTAATTTTTGCATTTTTAGTAGAGACGAGGTTTCACCATTTTGGCCAGGCTGGTCTCGAACTTCTGACCTCGTGATCAACCCGCCTTGGCCTCCCAAAGTGCTGGGATTATAGGCGTGAGCCACTGTGCCCTGCCTACTTAAATTTTTAAAGCTGATTTTGCAGAACAAAATATTTTCAGCATATATAGGTATTTTTTTCCTACCTGGCAAAACAGAATTTTTCCCTCATCTTTAAAATTCAAAATTTTTGACAAAATATGTTTAGTCATGTTGCTATTTTTTTCTGCAGTACTTGGTAAGCTTTTACAATTGTGCCAACTCAAAATTCTTCAGCTCAAGAATGCTAGACTTTTTTTTTCAATATATCTTGGATCATTGTTTATTTTCTTTTCTTCTGCTTTCTAATTTTGATTGTTTTTCAAAAGAATACTAATCTCATGCATATATATATTTTTTCAGAACTTAAATTTAATTTTTTAAATTTTTAAATTTTTAAATTTCATAGGTTTTGGGGGGAACAGGTGGTATTAGCTTACATGAGTAAGTTCTTTAGTGGTGATTTGTGAGATTTTGGTGCACCCATCTCTTGAGCAGTATACACTGAGCCCAATTTGTAGTCTTTTATCCCTCACTCCCTTCCCACCCTTTCCTTCTGAGTCCCCAGAGTCCATTGTGTCATTCTTATGCCTCTTCATCCTCATAGCTTAGCTCCCACTTATGAGTGAGAACATATGATGTTTGGTTTTCCATTCTTGAGTTACTTCACTTAGAATAATACTCTCCAATCACATCCAGGTTGCTGCAAATGCCATTAATTCATTCATTTTTATGGCTGAGTAGTATTCCATTGTGTGTGTATGTATATATATATATATATATATATATATATATATATATATATATATATAGTATATTGTGTGTATATATATATTCCATTGTGTGTATATATGTATACACACACATGCAATAGTACATAGTATTCCATTGTGTGTGTATCTATCTATTTATCTATCTATTTATGTCTCACAGTTTCTTTATCCATTCATTGATTGATGGGAATTTCGGTTGGTTTCACATTTTTGCAATTGTGAATTGTGCTGCTATAAACATCTGTGAGCAAGTATCTTTTTCGTATAATGACTTCTTTTCCTCTGGGTAGATATTCAGTAGTGGAATTGCTGGATCAAATGGCAGTTCTACCTTTAGTTCTTTAAGGAATCTCCACACTGTTTTCCATAGTAGTTGTACTAGTTTACATTCCCATCAGCAGTGTGATCACTTACACATTTTTTGTTTTCTTTTTTTGTGCATATCTTTAAGTTTCATGGAACGTTTTCATTTTCCCTCTTTTGATTTTGATTTTGAAACATCTAAATCAATAACTCAATTCTGATTTTTAACTTAGTATTGATATTTTTCATTTTATGTACTCTATCCTGCATTCATATACTATATGGTTTATGACTGTCTAATTTTATATGAGATCATTGAAACTTAAATATTAATGTAAATATATTGTTTGTTGGTGCAACTGTTTAGGTTCTTAAAAAGTCTGATTTTTGAGAATCTCATTTTAAAAAATTGGTTGTATTGCTGCATATCTGTTGCTTTTACTGTATTTATTTTCACAAAAGGAAATGTAATTTTCCTTTGTAACAATATTTAATTAGATTTAAATCATTCATGTGGGTTTTTTTATTCAAAATTTCTACATCATATAGATGCTATTAAATTTTGATTGTAACAGATTTTTTCTATTTAAAAATTTCATAACTTTTGGGAAACTGGTAAAATACAGAGATGTAAGTAGTGACATTATTAAATCAGTCTTGTGTTTTGGAGTTTAAGTCCCATTTATATGTTTACAACAGATTGTGTTTAGATTTCTGCTCTCCCATCTCATTTAGTTTCATGATGTGAAGCTGCCCCGAGAAGGGAGTTTTCAGGGACCAAATAAATAGACAATGAATTATAGCCCTTTAGAATTCAAAAACAAATTCTAGATAAAAGTATATTTTGAAAGTGTAATTGATCAGACATTTTATCCTCCTATCACCCATATCCTGTCCTTGACAGACTAAATAATGTCAGAGATATACAATATATATTAGAAAATAAAGAAAGATTTAGAAGGACTTTTGCCAAGTAGCTCTTCTCCTCGCTCACTAATTTAATGACAGGTTTAGTTCTTAAGCAGTGTGATAGTTTCCAATAACCATTTGAGAACCCCAAAATACATTAGGCTGTTCCTCCTTTTCTCTCAGAAAAGCTGAGAGGGAATTTACCCAGCATCACGGTGGCTTCGCCAAGTAACTAAATTTCCTGGAGAAAATGAAGAAGACACAGAATTGCACTGAGGAAAGAAACAATTATTCTATAGCAATTACAAATTTGTGATGAGGGGACTCTGTAGCATAAAAAGGCCTAGGTCTAAGATAGCAATATGATATACCAGCCCAACTCAGGTGCTTTCAAGTATGATGAGGGCACTATTAGTAATTAAGGTGGCTCAACTGGCATATACTATTCTAATAAAACCAAGATATATGGTTACCATACCGAGACTCCCTAGAAATAGAGACCTAGAGGGAAAACAGAGAATATTTTTATTTTCAATGAGGCAGATTGCCATATCTGTAAGTAAAATGCAATATTTAATAGAACAACTCCTGGAGTCATAGTTGGATATATGATAGAGACTTGAGTCTTTTGCTACTCAAAGTAAGGTCTTGCCCACCTGCATCAGTGGCTTCTTCACTTCTAAGAAATGAGAACTCTCAAGTTCCATTCCAATCCATTTAATCAGAATTTGCTCTGTAATAATCTGGGGTGATTTAAATACACTCTATTGTTTCAGAGGCACTGGTCAAGACACTATCTCCTTTCTCAATGCCTTAATGTAAACTCTTGCCCCTTATCTTTAACCAGAGGAAGATAACAGAAAGAGCGCAAGTCTCACTCCAAACTGATTGAGTTTACTCAAAGAGGAGAAATTAATCCAGCCTAAATGAAGTCTTAAAATAGTAATTAGGTTAACTCGCAGAAAAATAAATTGGTTTAATTATCTCAGAAAGTTTTATCCTATATTCATAATTTTTGTTATAAGAGCTGACAATAAACTAAGACAATATTCCTACATTTCTATGGTATAATTCATTATCTTTGTTTCTAGCTCTTTGCCTTATATGTATAGTTGGATCAAATTTAGGCTAGGTAGAAGTGCTACCAGGAACACTTACATAGATCATGATAAATTCTATACCCTTGCTGTTGATCCTTGTTCCTTAGAGTTAGAACTGGACTAGTAAGGATATTTTGGAATGGGTATCTCCTATCAAGCAAGCTGTTTTTAATTACAGGGAATTATTGGTTCATTAGCTTTTTCCCTAACCCAGTAGTAGCTACACAATATCTAGAACAAATTTTTCGAAAGTTCTCCTGCATGGATTTCTCTGTTTCCCTCTGCTTCTGTTTTTGTTTGTTTGTTTGTTTGTTTGTTTTTTAACTCTGCTTCTTTTGACAATGCCAGGCCTCTTCCCCCTCCAGTTTTATTTGCATTTTTATATTCAGGTCAGACTTGAAAAGAAGGATAGTTAAATGGACTAATAATTCATCCTTATTAGCCAGAAGTTCCCTTCAATTTTTCTTGGGAAGATATTCAAATGAAACAGAAATACTAGTGACTTTTCATGTCTACTTCATCCATACAAAGAACATGAGGAAGACAGGAGCTCATAGAGGATAGATGCAGATTCTGTAAGGTGAAAGGGTACAGAGATATAATGAGCATGCCAAACATACTTTGTCTAAATCATACTTGTGTTGAGTTATCTCTCCTCTGGCCAACTTAGACTCTAGGAAACTTTTGTGATGATTTTTCCTCTGCATTTATTCATAGAGGCCTTGGTGAACTGCCATGGTGAATCTTAGTGAAACTGAACTTGGATACAACCAGCCACTAAGAACAGTTTTAGGAAAGGTGTCGCAGGTTTTTTCTGAGTCAAGAAATATATTTCCTATTAGAGATATTTTATAGTAATGTTAGGATATGTTTTGTTTCATCAGGGTACAAGGTGTTGTTCAAATACAAAAGGCTGACTTAAAATGAACCACATGCTATGTAATGTATTTTGATGCTACATTAGAAAGGCCTGGCTGGGGCGGGTGCGATGGCTCATGCCTGTAATCCCAGCACTTTGGGAGCCTAAGGCAGGCGGATCACAAGGTCGGGAGTTCGAGACCAGCCTGACCAACATGGTGAAACCCTGTCTCTACTAAAAATACAAAAATTAGCCAGGAGTGGTGGCAGGCTCCTGTAGTCCCAGCTAATCAGGAGGCTGAGGCAGGAGAATGGCGTGAACCAGGGAGGCGGAGGTTGCAGTGAGCCGAGATTGCACCACTGCACTCCAGCCTGGGTGACAGAATGAGACTCCGTCTCAAAAAAAAAAAAAAAAAAGAAAGGCCTGTCTGATGGTGTTGAGAAATCTAATATCACTGAAAGAGCATGCTTGCAGGTATTGTAAGTTTGGATATTAAGTGCTAAGAACACTTCAGTTTAATGAGTGAAGAAATTATCTTGTCACTAAGAGGATACTTTAAGCCAATAACTACGGAACAATATAGTTTTGAGTGAAAATGATTATTTCCCGTGAGAAACATAAAAACAGAACATTTAAGAATATAACTCACATTCGCCAGGCGTGGTGGCTCACGCCTGTATTCCCAGCACTTTGGGAGGCCGAGGCAGGTGGATCACAAGGTCAGGAGCTCGAGACCAGCCTGACCAACATGGTGAAACCCTGTCTCTACTAAAAATAAAAAAATTAGCCGGGCATGGTGGCGCACACCTGTAATCCCAGCTACTTAGGAGGCTGAGGCAGGAGAATCGCTTGAACCCAGGAGGCGGAGGTTGCAGTCAGCAGAGATCGCGCCACTACACTCTAGCCTGGGTGACAGAGTGAGACTCTGTCTCAAAAAAAAAAAAAAAAAGAACATAACCTACATTAGATCTTTTTTCAAATCACGCATGGATTTTTAAATATTTCTCCAAAGTAGTCGACAATTTACTTTTTATGAAGTTATAACACAGGTCATTAGATTAACCATCATTTCTGCCAACATGTTCATTCAACAAACAGGATCTAACTTTTTCATGTCTAACCTAGAGAAATTATGTGCTTTTTTGGAACTTTTTAAAATGAAAAATTAGTTAGGGGTTGCCTGAGGTTTAATTCCTTTGGATATAACAATTCATAGGGATGAAAACTGTACCTATGACTCACAAGAGTCTATGTTTCTAAGATTATAACTATTTCCTGTCATGTGCCATCTTGTGGGATGTAATATCAACAAAAGATATAAAAATCTGGGTATAAATGTAACTGCTAAAGGAGAGGGGGTGGTTACAAATTGGTTGTACTTTAGCAACTTGATGCTCAGCTTCAGCAAGGGCTACCTTTACAAGACAATTCTCACTGCTGTGCACCAAAGAGCAAGGAGCTGTATCTGGGGACCGCTGAAAAAATTTGCCAATACAAATATAAGTTCCTTTGCTTATATTATTAGGTAATACAAAATATTTTTGTTATAACAAGGGGTACTATTATTGGCATGTGACTTACTCACTTTTGAAATCTCAAAAGGCAGCAGGGATTTCAGAAGAGGTGTGGACCCACATGTAGAATGTTGTCTTAATATAGGTTCCTGGGTTTCTAGCTACCCAAGATATGACAATTTAATTCAATAGCGTTTTGTAGTCTGCTCAGGCTGCCATAACAAAATAACATAGACTGGATGGCTTAAACAATAAAAAAATAATTTTGTCACTGTTCTGGAAGCTAGAAGTTCAAAATTAAGGAGGCATCTGATTTGGTTTTGGTGAGGCTTCTCTTCCTGCTGTGGAGATGGCTGCCTTCTCACTGTGTCTTTATGTGACCTCTTTTCTGTGCATACACATAGAAATATCTCAGTACCTTCTTATTCATATATAGACACCAGTTTTTATAAATTTAGGGCCCTAAAATTATGGCCTCATTTAAACTTAAATGTATCTTTATAAACCCCATCTCTAATTACATTAGCATTGGGAGTTAGGACTTCAACATAAGAAGCTCTCAGTATCTTCTTATTCACATATAGACACCAGTTTTATAAATTTGGGGCCCCAAATTATGGCCTCATTTAAACTTAAATATATCTTTATACGCCTCATCTTTAAATACATTAACATTGGGAGTTAGGACTTCAACATAAGAAGCTTAGCAGGACACAGTTTAGTCCACAACAGAGACATATAGAATATTCCTTTCAGATGGTGAGAATGTAATTAATGGAGATATGAAGACATAAAAAGAAAGTAGTGTACATTGTTTATGCAAGTGGTAAGCTTCAGAGAAAGATAAAAGCCATGGAACACAAATTACCTGTATTAGACATAAAAATTAGACAAAGAAGTACACACAAGAGACTTTCAGACAGACTGCATGTACATTAATTGAGAGTACAAATAAAAGAGCCAGAATTGAGTTGGGTAAAAGTAATTGCATGAAGCAGAGGTTTCAGATGTTGAAAGAAATGAAGGTAGAGTTTAGAAGTGTCCTAAGTTTCACTTACCTAAATATCCCTGTAGAAATGGCTATAGAGATAACTTATTTTAAATATATTTTTGAAAGAGTTCTTAAAGTTGTTTTTAAAAAATGCCTATATCAGAGACTACATAAGACAAGGGTGAGCATTATGTAATCTAGAAACATCCCACTAAGGTTGGATGGCATTTCCATTAAATGGCTATCTAGTCTCAGGAAAATAATCTTTATTTTTGAGACTCAGTTTACTTATCTGTAGAATGAAGATAAATATGGTGTTTAGCTCAGAGAATTTCTGGAAACAAATGATTTAATACATCTAAAATGCTTAGAAAAATTCTTGACATCTAGAAACCTTCAAATGATTGAAAAGTATTAACTATTATATTGATTGCATGTGATTAGCTTTAATTGTAACTAATATTTAAAGCTAATATTCAAATAGTACTAAATGATATTTTATTAAAGGGAAGAGGAAAGAAAATATTGGTATTTTTTGTAGGGCTTTTAATTTTAGATCTTTTTTTTTTCACAATCTTACAAAAAGGTGACATTTGAACAGAAAGTGTAAGGAATAAGGAACAAGTCTATACATACCTAGAGGAAGAATATTCCAAGCAGAAGAAACAGTAGGTAGAAAAACTTGAGGGCAGCACGCTTTTGGTGAACTTGAGGAGTAGAATAAACCAGGCAGATGGTGGTGAAAGATAAGGTCTGGAAGATGAGCAAGATCGTGTTCAGTCTTTCAGTTCAGGACAGAAAGGTACAATTTTATTCTTATTGTGAATGGAAGCCATTGGAAGATTGGGGAAAGAACACAATACATTAAAAAAGATACTTTGAGCCATTGTGTGGAAGACATAGTGTGATGGGCAATCACTTTAGTAGGAAGGGCAGCTATTGAGTAAGCCAGAGAAAAATGATGAATTCGAGTGGAACAATAAAAGTAGTGATGAGTGTTTCCTATAGGTTAAAAAAAATGAATACTGAAGAGAAAAGAAAATCCCAAATTAACTCATTATTCAGAATTATTATGTTTTAAAATAAGAGAGTTTTGATTATCTTTATATTGCGTGTTCTTCTATGACATCACAGCTCTTAGAGTGGTTGGGATATTTCATGTGGGGAGGATTCATAGAAGATGAGAATTGTAAATAGCCATCCTATAATTTAAAATTCATTTTACGAAAATATTGAAACCAAACATGTTTGGGCAGGGTACCAATGTGGCTTCACCTGCTGTACATAAAATAGTGCTGAGAAGCCATAATAGAAAAATTGGTGAAATGCAAAAAAATCCCTTTGACCAAAGAACCATGGTAGGAAGAATAATTACCCTCCAAAGATATCTCTCTCTTAATCCCTGCAACCTTCTGTAAATATATGAAGCTACATGACACAGGGAATTAAGATAGTGAATAGAATTCAGATTCGCTAATACATTGGCATTAAATTGGTAGATGATCTTGGTTTACCCAGTTGGGCCCAATGTAATTTCATGTTCCGCAAATGTGGAAAAAGAAGGTAAAATACACTATGTTAGATTAATGTGATATGAGAAACTGTTGATGAGAGTAATGCAACTGGCCCTTGCTCGCTTTGAAGATGAAAGGGGGCCACAAACCAAGAATGGAAGGTGGTTGTCCATAAGCTGGCAAAACAAGAATTTGGATTATCCCCTAGAGCCTCCAGAAAGGTTAGTAACTCTGGTAATAATGTGATGTCGGCCTAGTGAGACCCATTTTGGACATGTGAACTATAAGTTAATAAATTTGTGTTGGTATAAGCCATTAAATTTGTGGTACTTTGTTTCCAAAGTAATGGAAAATATATACAATTAATAAAATATGTTTATATTAGGGGAAGCTGAGTGAAAGGTATATGAAAACTTTGTAATATCCTGTGACTTTTCTGCAAACCTGACATTATTCCAACAGAAAAGATTTGAAAAAAAAATTCTCTAAACATTTCAAGCTGAATCTTTCTAAAATTGACCATATAATCACTTCCCTAACCTCTGCTTTCTACATTAACTCTCCATTAGTTTTACTCTCATGCATTCAATTAAAACAAATCTGGAACTTCAATATCATCCTGGATGTATTCAATATCTCCTAAAGAACACATCCTAACATGATTATTCCACAAAGTAATGTATCAATTATTTTCCCCATTCTTACTCAACTTTGTGACTATTACTAGAGACCCCTAACCCATTTACTTGCTTTTAATACCTCTGCACATCTCTCTGAGTTCTCTTAATAGTGATAGTGTTGTCCCTTTAATACAAACAACTATTCATGATATTCCATAACAATCTATAATGATACTCTACTACCCACAGCAATATACCCTTTCAGAAGCTCATACTTTCTCTCCATTTTTTTCCCCTTTCTCTTTTCTATCCATAAGGCTCCAGGCACAGAGAACTTCTCTATTTTCTTTGAACGTGCTATACTATTGACACATAAATTTTAACATGTATTTTTTACATCTTTCTAACATATTTCACCACTTTTTCATTGTTTCATAAGTCATAATGATTATAATAATTACAATGAAAAATTGACCTCTCCATGATCTTTTATGGATTCCTTTTCTGTAACCTTACACAATAAGATCAGTTGAGTTACTCACAGGTAAGCAAATTGGTGCATAGTTCTATTGCAGCACACTTCACATTGCATTTGATTGTTGGAAGTGTATACTGTCCATCCATCTCTATATTCTTCAAAGCAGAGACCATGTCTTATTTGTCATTCTGTCTCCAGTAGCTACAAATAGACTCCATTATCAGCTGTGTGTAAGATTAAAAATTGTCCAGTAGGAGACAAATTAAAAACTTGTTACAAATGGAGTCTGTTTGTTGTTCTACACATATTACAGTTTCATCACTTTCATCAACTACTCTTTAGAATATGACTGCATGATTCCACAGTTTACTAATCTTAGACACAGCACCTGAAACTTAGAATAGATGTGTCTTTGTTATATTAATTCCTAGTATCCCCCAAGTCTCAGAGATATTTGAACTAAGGGCAAGAGTTCCAATGATGTGCCCAGCAACTTTCCCCTAGCTGGTATTCAAGACTTAAGTGGTATTTATCATCCTATCAGGACCCATCTGAACACATTGAAGCTAATGGGAGGCTCATTCAACTTAACAGGATACACGTTTGCTTAACAGAAGGCACATCAACTTAACACAATACATCTGTAACATATTTGACTTCCATACACCTTTTGATGCCTACCCTTTGTTAATTCCGACTGCAGAGGCTAATGCCCTTGTAGTGGTGTAGAACAGTAATGAGTCAAGTGAAAGCAATGGGAATTGAAAGGCAGGAAATGATTAAGTTGATGTTGGTGGTATAATTGAGGAGAAAACTGAATGTGAACAATGTGAGTAATGAGATTATTTGAGACTCCCAGCCTGAATGGATGAGAGGATATTACCATCATTGCCAAAGAATATTAGTCATCAATGTATCCAAATGTTATTTGACTCTGTCTTTTGTTGTACTCAAACTCTACTTTGTGCTACTATATTTTTAAAAACCCTGTGAGATACTAAAAACTGAATAAATACTATAAGATTTCTAATTTTCTTGTGAATTAGATGAGGTGTAATGAGGCAACAAATATATTGAAAACAACAATGCATGCAAGGAGAGAAAAGTTGGATTTAATTTTGCCTTTCAATTACCATCTGCATAATCTGAGGAAAGTACCTTTGCTGAGACTAATTTTTTTAGGTATATCTTTAAATACAACAAATTTATTGTTTTATGTAAGGACTAATGTGTATATAAATATCAAAATTATGAATTTATATATGCAATGTATATAGCAGATAGCCAAGATAAATGCGGACAGCGTGAGAGAGCTGCTGAGAGAGCTGCTGAATAAAGCCATATTTTATATATTAAAATAAACTCTAAATTCCATACTTTATACATTAAATATTCCATATATATATATTATATATTATATATTCCATACTTTATATATTAAAATAAACTCTAAATTCCAACAATCTATACAATATTTGGAATTACTGTTATTGAAGACATTTAAAAACTATTGTATATCTTCCTTTCTTCTTGCACTCAGAAGACTCTTAAAACTTGTTTACATATTGGTTTTCTTTGCCTTTTGACTCAAGCAGTTAAGAATTTTAATGCACAAAATATAAAATAGAAACTTTATTCACTGTTAGGCTCACGACTATGCCAAATGTCAGGTTCAGGGTCAGGCTGTAGCCCCAGCTGAGGTCTGAGGGGAGTGGGTGGATGGGCAGATAGCCGAAAGAACACTTGGGAGGCCGTAGGCAGGTGGAATATGGCTTTATTCAGCAGCTCTCTCATTAGCAACTCTCTAACACTGTCTGCATTTATCTTGGCTATCTGCTCTGGCTCTGTGGCTCCTCTCAGCAGCCAGTTCTGTGGCTCCTGCTGCCCCCACACTTGCAGCTGCACTCCCTGACCTGCAAGGCCAACTACAGGGTCAGCAGCTTAACTCTCCCTCTAGGCACAAGCCAGTTCCTGGCTCCCCCCTGCCCACCTTCAAGGCGACCAGCTCTACAGGGCTAAGCAGTGTTACTCTCTCTCTGGACACCAGTGAGAACTGAGCCTATACAGTGTCAGGGCAGTTACACTTTTCAAACAATAGTGCCTGAGAGCCAAGTATAAGTTTACACAAAACAGGTTATATAATAAGTGGAGTCTGCGCCTGCACCCTAAACTTGCTGAGTCATCCTGGCCTGGATATTTACCTCGACCTCTTCCTTGACCAAAGCACAACCGTGTAGCTTACATTCCACCCCCTAGGCTGAGGGAGACATAGGTTTTGGGCACACAGGCCCAATACACAAGTTTGGCACATAGGCTCTGGACACACATGTCCAACACATAAGCTTTGGGCACACAGGCTCAATACATACACATAGGCTTGACACATAAGCCTAACATATAGCCTTTGGGTGCACAGGTCTGATACATACACATAGGCTTAACACATAAGCCTGGCCTGATACATACACATAAGCCTGGCATGATACATACACACACACAGGCCAGATACATAGGTATAGGCTTGACACAGGCCTTATACATAGGTTCTGTGCACACAGGCCTGTGACATACATTAGCTTCAATAAAGTGTCCAGCAGTCAGTGCAGATTACCATATTGGTGCAGATTACCTCTTTGGTGATTACCATTTACACTGCCCTGAGTTTAGCTTATTAGCTCCTCTGTCTACACCTGGTTTCAAACCATATGGTGTCAGTATTAAGTTGAACGGCAACAGCAGTCCAGACAGCAGTAGCATTCTAGCTAGACCCATTTGTGTACCATGCCCCATTAGGAAAGGGGGGATGCTCTTCCTTAAATGGTGATGGCTCAGGCTCTAGGGGTGCCTCAGGCCTCATGGCATTAGGCCCCATGGCCTTATCTTGCATTAGGACTACAGGTCCCAAGCCCTCTTATAACTCTGCTGCTATGGGACTTGTACTCAGCATACTCCACTGTTCTAAATAGGCACCCCACTTTGCAAGGTGGATGTCTGTGCCTTTCCACTCTGGGGGGTCATTACTCACGAATGGCCCACCCCAGTATTGGGCACGTCAGCTGCAAGATGACTGTAACTCATCCTGTCACACTCTTGTAAGGCTGAAGGGCAGCATATGCAGTTACTAACTGCTTCTTTCTTAATAAACACAGGAGCTCAGCTCCCTTTCACAGTTGGGACTAAAAGCAGGCTATTCAGCAGGCACAAGCCCAGGGGTGCCCATTTAAACTAGATGTGCATGTGACCACAGATGGTTTTGGCTAGGGCCTATAGTGGTACATGGAGCGCTTGGAATTTCCAGGAGGCTTTTAGTCTCACAAGAGCATGGCCGGATGAGTTACAGTCATCTCCACTCCCAACCTCCACCCTCTGATAGGCCCCAATATCTGTGGTTCCTCTCTATGTATCCATGTGTTCCATTATTTAGCTCCCACTTATAAGTGAGAACATGTGGTATTTTGTTTTCTGTTTCTGTGTTAGTTTGCAAAAGGAGATGGCCTCCAGCTCCATTCACGTTTCTGCAAAGGACATAATCTTGTTCTTTTTTATGGCTGCATAGTATTCCATGGTGTATATGTACTGCATTTTCTTTATTCAGTCTATCATTGATGCTCATTTAGATTGATTCCATGTCTTTCCTCTTGTGAATAGTGTTTCAATGAACACACATGTTTATATTCCTTTCCATATATATGAAATAATGAGATTGCTGGGTCAAATGGTAGCTCTGTCTTTAGATCTTTGAGGAATCGCCCCACTCTCTTCCATGATGGCTAAATTCATTTACACTCCCACCAACAGTGTATAAGTGTTCCTTTTTCAGCTGTCTCAACTAACCCCATCTCTACTAAAAATACAAAAATTAGCCAGGCATGGTGGCAGGCTCCTGTAATCCCAGCTACTCAGGAGGCTGAGGAAGGAGAATTTCTTGAACCCAGGAGGTTAAGGCTGCAGTGAGCCGAGATCACACCACTGCACTCCAGCCTGGACGACAGAGGAAGACTCTGCCTTGAAAAAAAAAAGAAACAGTGTTCCCTTTTCTCCACAACTTCATCAGCATCTGTTATTTTTTGACTTTTTATTAATAGCCAATCTGGCTTTTCTAATATCCAGCATCTTTAAGGAACTTACACAAATTTACAAGAAAAATAACAACCCAATAAAAACAGTGAGCAAAGGACATGAACAGACACTTTTCAGAAGAAGACATGCATATGGCCAACAATCACATGAAGAAAAGCTCAACATCACTGATTATTACAGAAAAGTGAATCAAAACCACAATAAGATACCATCTCACAACAGTCAGTGTGGCTCTTACCTTATTTTTCCTAAAAAATATGGCTTTGTTATGCCTAATCTACCTTCTTTAGTGGTAGATATGTGAATATGTGGGGAAAGGGTAGATATGAAGTCTCAATTACACAATTTCCAGAAAAAAACTGCACTCATCAACTGCCTGTCTTCTCTGTTCAGATTTTTGTGCAATGAAAATGGTGGTCATTGCTCAGATTAAGAACTCCATCCTCCGTCTTAAAAGTCTGTCTTTGGATTTGACTCTTTAATATACAACTGTGACTGGATCTTGACTTTTTTATTTCTATTCTTATCTTCCCTCTATTTCTAATATAACTGAAAGTGGTGCATGGCTGACCATGTCTAGAAATAAACGATGTTCATAATGATAACAAATAACAACATCACTCTTCAAGCCAATTGCATTTAAGATATATCCATTTAGAGGCGTCCTATTTAAGGTTTAGATCATTTCACCAGCTGTTTTGAGGCAGAGTTCATAAATTTCTTTAAAATAAAATGGTTAAAATTATTTTAAAATGAAGCAGAGGAGAATTCCAAATCTGGACAATAGCCAATTCTAAAATAATAGAAAATTCACTCACTTTTTGCATTCCTATTTGTTTTATTAATTAGTATATAAAGTTTATATACATATACACATATATACACACATATATATACATATATACACATATATATACATATATACACATATATACATATATACATATATATGTATACATATATATATACATATATACATATACATATATATATACATATATATATATGGAAGAGGGGAACAAATAAATGACTTTGCTTCACAGTTTGACCATAAAGATGCTTAATGACCATATTCTAATAGGACTACAGTAACCTTAATGCCCACATTTAATCTAATATTACATAAGGTTAGTGAATAATATATAACGTGATTTATTTTGATTGTGAGGAAGCTAACTTGTAGTAGTACATGAGCCTTATATTTTTTGCATTTTTCTTCCTTTCTAAAATTATTTTATTGATAGATAATTATAGATTTGATATTTTGATACATGCATACAATATATAATTATCAAGTCATGGTATGTAGGATATCCATCTCTTCTAACACTGAACATTTTCTGCGTTGGGAACATTTCAGATTTTTTATTCTAACTATTTTGAAATATACAATCAATTTTTGTGACTATAGTCACTCTAATGTGATACCAAACACTGGAACCTACTCTTTCTACTTAACTATCTGTTTTCAATCAACCTCTTTTCATCCCCTACCTCCTTTTTCAGATTCTGATGATTATCTTTCTCCTTCATGAGATTAACTCTTTTAGCTCTTGCATATGAGTGAGACATTGCAGCATTTATTTTTCTGTGCCTGACTTATTTCACTTGATGACTTCCAGTTCCATCCATGTTGCTGCAAATGACAGAATCATTTTTATGGGTAAATAGTGTTTCATTGTGTAGATATACCATGTTTTTCATTTATTCATCCATGGATGGACATTTGCACTGCATCCATATTTTGGCTATTGTGAATAGTGCTGCAATAAACATAAGGGTATTGGTATCCCTTTGATATACTGAATCCTTTTTTTTTTTTTTTTTTCAGATAAGTACTTCATAGTGACATTGCTGAATTGTATGGTAGTTCTATTTTTTTGTGTCCTTTGGATGATAGATATTTTAATTGGGGTGAGACGGTATCTCATTTTGGTTTTGATTTGTATTTACCTGATGATTAGTGCTATTGACCATTTTTAAATATACCTCTTGGTAATCTGTATGTCATCTTTTGAGAAATCTATTCAGACCATTTGCCCACTTTCTAATAGAATCACTTGAATTTCTATTGTTGCTGAGTTGTATGAGTTCTTTGTATATTCTGGATATTAGTTTCTTGTCAGACAAATGAGTAGTTTGCAAATATTTTTTCACATTCAACAGGTTGTCTCTTCACTTTGTTGATTGTTTTCTATGTTGTGCAGAAATGTTTTAGTTTACTATTGTCTCGTTTGTATATTCCTATTTTTGTTGCCTGTGCTTTTGAAGACTTAGCCATAAAATCTTTACCTTGTCCTGAAGTGTTTTCCTTATCTTTTCTTCTAGTAGAAGGTCTAGGTCTCTTGTTTAATTTTTTTATCCATTTTGAGCTGATTTTCATATATTGGGAGAGGTGACTAGTTTCACTCTTCTGCATATGGATATCTAATTTTCCCAGCACTATTTTTGAAGAGGATGTCCTTTGAGCAATGTATGTTCTTGACAGATTTGTTAAAAATTATTTGGCTATAAATACATGGATTTAGGAATTGAGGGGAAAAATGGCAGATAAAAGGCAGGACTAATTTGCAGCTCCCACTTGGTTGGAAAAAATGGCATGTAGAGACACATTATGAACTTTTGCTCCAAGAACTACCACAGAAACATACCAAGAAAAAGAAAAGAATTCACAGAGCCTTTGAAAGAACGGTTTGCCACTGCAAACTCGGTGAGATAGCCAATAATCTGTGAGCGCCCAAAGTGTGAGAGGAGGCATGTCCTCCTCTGAACATACATCCTCACTGAGGAACCTGAAAATCCATGTCACAGAAAAGGAGTTAACCTTACTTAGAGCTGAAATGAATTTAGAGGGCTGAGCAAAATATAAAAGTAAAAGAAGCAGCAAAAAGAGCCTCATAGGCACTTCCAGTCCCCAAGGAAACTATTTTATCTCATAGTGGTCCTTGGGGAGGGCTGCCATCAGAATTGGGAAAAGACCGCAGGGAGAAAGAAACTTCCAGCTGAGATTTGCAATAATTTTGATCAAGCACAAATTTTCCTGGGCAGAATCTGGGGGTAAGGGGAGGCAAACGAGAGGTGCAGATATGAGCACAGAAGCTGAGGCAGGTGAGGAGGGGCAAGGCCTGAAAGCCTTGCTTACTTTCTCATCAGGGAAGCTTGTAGCCTGAGGCAAGATCTCAGCCCAGCTCACAGTCTTCCTGAATATAAATTTGGTGCTGTTGGTGGGGCGTGGTGGGAGTGAGACTGGCCTTGGTGGCTGTGTGGGAGTTGGGTGAAGCCTGTCACTGCCAGCTTTTCCTCACTTCCCTGGCACCCTGTATGACACAGAAGCAGCATCCATAACCCCCCTGGGAACATAACTCCATTGGCCTGAGAACCTCACCTTCATCCTGCACAGCAGCCACAACAAGTCTTGCCCAAGAAGAGTCTGAGCTCAGACATGCATAATCTTGTCCCTGCCTGCTGGTCTTTCTTTACCCATCTTGGTAGCCAAAGAAAAAACACTTAATCTCTTGGGAGCTCTGTGGCCCCAACCATCACCTGAGAAAACCGAATACTTATCCAAGTGACCTTAGGGTAAGCTTGTATCACCCCTATACTACCACAACTGATACTCTCTTTAAAGCACCACCTCCTGGCTGGAGGCCAACCAACTTAAGCCATTACAGCAACTCATAAGAGAACAACCCTGCTTCAAGAAAGGAGAAAATACCAGCTAATTCCGCCACCTGTGACATCCTGGCTAACCAGAGGTTCTGAGTCTGTTCACATGACAACTTTACTGCTAGTACAATTAGCATTCAAGAAAACCAGTACGCTAAACAAAACTACAACCAAAGACCCTCACAGAGTCCACTTCAATCCCCTGCCACCTTCACCAGAATAGGTGCTGGTATCCCTGGCTGAGAGACCTGAAGACAGATTCACAACACAGGACTCTTTGCAGACACTCCCCAGTACTAGCCCAGAGCCTGCTAGCTCTGCTGGGTGGCTAGACTGGAGAGCAATAAGAATCACTGCAGTCTAGCTCTCAGGAAGCCCCCATCCCTATGGGTAGGGAGAGAGCACCACATTAAGCGGGTATCCCATGAGACAATCTGAACAGCAGCCATTGAACCCCAGATCTTCCCTCTGACATAATCTATCCAATTGAGAAGAAACTAGAAAAACAATTCTGGTGATATGAGAAAACAAGATTATTTAACACCCCCAAGATCACAATAGTTCACCAGCAATAGATCCAAACCAAGAGGAAATCTCTGAATTGCCAGAAAAAGAATTCAGAAGGTCAATTATTAAGCTACTCAAAGAGGCACCAGAGAAAGGTGAAAAACAACTTAAATAAATTAAAAAAAACAAAAAAAAACAGGATATGGACAAAAAATCTCCAGAGAAACAATCACAACTTCTGGAAATGAAAGACACACTTAGAGAAATGCAAAGTACACTGGAAAGTTTCAACAATACAATCAGACAAGTAGAAGAAAGAACTTCAGAGCTCAAAGACAAGGCTTTTAAATTAACCCAATCCAACAAAGACAAAGGAAAAAGAATTTAAAAAATGAAAAAAGCCTCCAAGAAGTTTGGAATTATGTTAAATGACCAAACCCAAAAACAATTAGTGTTCTTGGGGTAGAAGATAAATCTAAAAGTTTGGAAAACTTATTGTATAAAATAATCAAAGAACATTTCCATGCCTTGCTAGAGAACTAGACATTCAAACATAAGAAGCACAAAGAACACCCAGGGAATTTAACCACAAAAGGATCATCACCTAGGCAGGTAGTCATCATGTTATCTAAAGGCAAGATGAAGGAAAGAACCTTAAGAGCTATGAGGCTCTTAAACTGTGAGCTTAAGAGCTGTGAGCTGTGAGGCAAAAGCATCAGGTAACCTATAAAGGAAAACCTATCAGATTAACAGCAGATTTCTCAAACCCTACAAGCTAGAAGAGATTGGAGTCCTATCTTTAGCTTCCTTAAACAAAACAATTATTAGCCAAGAATTTCGTATGTAGCAAAACTAAGTTTCATAAATAAAGGAAAGATACAATCTTTTTCAGACAAATTAATGCTGAGAGAATTTACCACTACCAAGACAGCACTATAAAAACTGCTAAAAAGAGTTTCAAATCTTAAAATAAAACCTCAAAATACACCAAAATAGAACCCCCTTAAAGCATAAATCTCACAGGGCCTATAAAACAATAACACAACAAATAAAACAAAAACACATACAAGGTATTCAGGCAACAACTAACATGATAAATAGAATTACTAGTAGCTCACATCTCAATACTAATGTTGAATGTAAATGGCCGGAATACTACACTTAAAAGATACAGAATGTCAGAAAGGATAAGAATTCGCCAACCCTGTATCTGGTGTCTTTAAGTGACTCATCTAACACATAAGAACTCACAATAACTTAAGATAAAGGGGTGAAAAAGGTATTCCATGCAAATGGACACCAAAAGCCAGCAGGATTAGCTATTTAGATATCAGACAAAATGGACTTTTAAGCAACAACAGTTACAAAAGACAAAGAGGAACATTATATAATGATAAGAGGACTACACAAACAGGAAAATATCAAAATTCTAAATATATATGCACCTACTGGAGCTCCCAAATTTATAAAGCTAATGCTACTAGACCTAAGAAATGAGACAGACAGCAACACAATAATATTAGGGGACTTCAATACTCCACTGTCAACACTAGACAGATCAAGACAGAAAGTCAGCAAAGAAACCATGGACTTAAAATATATTCTAGAACAAATGTAATGAGCCGATACTTACAGAAAATTCTACCCAAAAACTGCAGAATATACATTCTAGTATGAACAGAGAACATTCTCCAAGATAGACCATATGACAGTTCACAAAACAAGTCTCAATAAATATAAAAAAATTGAAATAATATCAAGTACTCTCTCAGTACACAGTGGAATAAAATTGGAAATCAACTCCAAAAGGAACTCTCAAAACCATACAAATACATGGAAATTAAATAATTTGCTTCTGAATGAGAATTGGGTCAACAAGGAAATCAAGTTGGAAATTTAAAAATTCTATGAACTGAATAATAGTGACACAACTTATCAAACCCTCTGAGGTACAGCAAAAGTGATGCTAAGAGGAAAGTTCCTAGCATTAAAAGCCTACATCATAAAGTGTAAAAAAACAAAAATAAATAATCTAAGCTTATACCTAAAGGAACTAAAAAAACAAGAACAAACCAAACCCAAACCCAGCAGAACGCAAGAAATAACAAAGATCAGAGCAGAACTAAATGAAATGGAAACAACCAAAAAAAATACAAAAGATAAATGAAGCAAAAAGCTGGTTCTTTGAAAAGACAAACAAACTGATAGACCATTAGTGAGATTAACCAAGAAAAGAAGAGAGAAGATCCAAATAAGCTCAATTAGAAATGAAACGGGAGGCCGATTACAACTGTAATCCCAGCACATTGGAAGGCAAAAGCGGGCAGATCCCTTGAGGTCAGGAGTTTGAGACCAGCCTGGCCAACATGGTGAAACTCCATCTCTACTAAAAATACAAAAATTAGCCAGGTATGGTGTCATGCACCTGTAATCCTAGCTACTTGGCAGGCTGAGAAACAAGAATCGCTTGAACCTAAGAGGTGGAGGTTGCAGTGAGCTGAGATTGTTCCACTGCACTCCAGCTTGGGCTACAGAGTAAAACTATGTCTAAAAAAAAAAAAAAAAAAAAAGGGCCAGGTGCGGTGGCTCACCCCTGTAATCCTAGCACTTTAGGAGGCCGAGTCACGTGGATCACGAGGTCAGGAGTTTGAGAGCAGCCTGGCCGCATAGTAAAACGCCGTATCTACTAAAAATACAAAAATTAGCCTCGCATGGTGGCACACACCTGTAGTCCTAGCTACTCAGGAGGCTGAGGCAGGAGAATCACTTGAACCCGGGAGGCGGAGGTTGCAGTGAGCCAAGATCATGCCACTGCACTCCAACCTGTGTGACAGTGAGGCTCTGTCTAAAAAAAGAGAGAGAGAGAGGAAAAAAAATGAAATGGGAGATATTACAAATGACACAACAGAAGTACAAAAGATAATAAGAAAATTCAAGGCTAATGTGAACACCTTTATATGCACAAACTAGAAAACATAGAGGAGATAGATAAATTCCTGGATATACACAACTCTCCTAGATTAAACCACGAAGAAATAGAAACTCTGAACAGACCAATAAATGTGAGATTAAAATGGTAATAAAAAACTTGCCAACAAAAAAAAAAGTCCAGGACCAGATAGATTCACAGCTGAATTCTATCACACACTCAAAGAAGAATTGGTACCAATCCTATTGAACTATTCCAAAAGACAGAGAAAGAGGACTTCCTTTCTAAATCATTCTATGAAGCAGTATCACCCCAACATGAAAACCAGGAAAGGACATAACAAAAAAAGAAAACTACAGATTGATATCCCTGATGAACATAGATGCTAAAATCCTTAACAAAACACTAGATAACTGAATCCAACAACATATCAAAAAGATAATCCACCATGATCAAGTGGGTTTCATTCCAGGGATGCAGGGGTGGTTTAACATACGCAAGTCAATAAATGTGATAAACAAAAATCACATGATAATCCAAATAGATGCATAAAAAGTAGTTGACAAAATCCAGCATCGCTTTATGATTAAAACCCTCAGCAAAACTGGCATATAATGGACATACATCAAGGTAATAAAAGCCATCTATGACAAACCCACAGCCAACATTATCCTGAGTAGGGAAAAGTTGAAAGCATTCCTCTTCAGAACTGGAAGAAAACAAAGATTTCCACTTTCACCATGTCTGTTCAATATAGTACTGGAAGTCCTAGCCAGAGCAAATCAGACAAGAGAAATAAATGTAGGGCATACAAATTTGGTAAAGAGAAAGTCGCACTCTCACTGTTCACTGTTATGATTGTAAGCGCAGAAAACCCTAAAGATTCATTCAAAAAGCTCCCAAATCAGATAAATAAATTCATAATGCTTCAAAATACAAAGTCAATATACACAAATCAGTAGCTTGGCTATACACCAAGAGTGACCAAACAGAGAATCAAATCAAGAACTCAACCTCGTTTACAATAGCTGGAAAAAAAAAAAAAGATATATACCTAACCAAGGAGGTGAAAGACTTCTGCAAAGAAAACTACAAAACACTGCTGAAAGAAATCATAGATGACACAAAAAAATGGAAAAACATCCCATGCTCCTGGATGGGTAGAATTAATATTGTGAAAATGACTATACTGCCAAAAGCAATCTATAAATTTAATACAATTCCCATCAAAATACCACTATCATTCTTCATGGAAGTAGAAAAAACAATGCTAAAATTCATATGGAACAAAAAAAGAGCCCGGATAGCCAAGGCAAAACTAAGCAAAAAGAACAAATCTGGAGGCATCACATTACCCACCTTCAAACTATACTTTAAGTTTATATCACAAAAAGAGTGGGATCCAGCAATCCCACTCTTGAGTATCTCCCCAGAGGGAAAGAAGTCATTATATGAAAAAGACACTTGTGCATATATGTTTATAGCTGCATAATTCGCAATTGCAAAAATATGGAACCAGTCCAAATACCCATAAATCAATGATGGGATAAAGAAAATTCCCTCTCTCTCTCTCTCTCTCTCTCTCTCTCTCTCTCTCTCTATATATATATATATATATATAAATCATGACTGTTATGAAATCATAACATTCACAGCAACCTGGATTCAATTGGAGACTATTATACTAAGTGAAGTAACTCAGGAATGAAAAACCAAACATTGTATGTTGTCACTTATAAGTGGGAGCTAAGCTCTGAGGATGCAAAGGCATAAGAATTATACAATAGACTTTGGGGTCTTGTGAGGAAGTGTGGGAGGGGAGTGATGGATAAAAGACTACACATTGGGTACAGTGTATGCTGCTCCGGTGATGGGTGCACCGAAATCTCAGAAATCATCAATAAACAACTTATTCATGTAACCAAACACCACCTGTTTCCCCAAAACCCATAGAAATAAAATACATACATACATACATACATACATACATACATACATGGATGTACTTCTGTATTCTGTATTCTGTTCCATTCATGTAGTTGTCTGTTTTTATGCCAATACCATACTGTTTTGGTTACCCTAGCTTGAGAACATGAGTCGAAGTCAGGTAGTGTGGTGCATCCAGCTTTTTTTCTTTTGCTCAGTATCATTTTGGCTATTAGAATTCTTTTCTGGTTCCAAACAGATTTTAGGCTTGTTTTTCTATTTCTGTGATTAATATAATTATTATTTTGACACAGATTGCATTGAATTTGCAGATTACTTTGGGTTATGCATCATTTTAACTGTAATAATACTTTGAATCCAAGATCATTGGCTCTTATTCCATTTGTTTGTGTCCTCTTGAATTTCTTCCATCGGTGCTGCCTAATTTTAAGAAGTCTTTAACCTCTTCAGTTAAATTTATTTCTCAGTATTTTAGTGTGAGTGTGTGTGTGTGTGTGTGTGTGTATTGTAACTGATGTTACTTTCTTGATTTTTTTAGCTAGTTTGCTATTGGTATATAGAAACACTACTCGTATTTGTACGTTGATTTTGTATCTTGCAACTTTACTGTATTCGTTTATCAGTTGTAAAACGTTTTTGTTGGTTGTGATATCTGTAGGTTTTTCCATATATAAGGTCATGTCATCTGCAAAAGGAGATTTCCTGTCTTCCAATTTAGATTAGTTTTATTTCTTCCTCTTGTATGATTGCTTTGAGTAAGACTTCCAGTGCTATGTTGAAATAAAAGTGGTAAAAAATGCATATTTTTTGTCTTATTCTACTTTTTAGAGAAAAGGCAGTCAGCTTTTTCCAATTCAGTCTGTGGATGTGTCATATATGGCCTTATTATGTTGAGGTATGTTCCTTCTATGCTTAAGTTGTTGAGAGTTTTTATCATGAAGAGATGTTGAATATTACCAATTGCTTTTTCTGTTTCTATTGAGATGATCAAATGGTTTTGTGCTTCATTCTGTTAATGTGATGTATCACATTTATTGATTTGCGTATGTTAAATCATCCTGTATCTCTGGTACACATCCCACTTAATCATGCTATATTGTCTTTTAATTAATTATTTTTGAGACAGGGTCTCACTCTGTCACCCGGGTTGGAGTACAGTGGTGTGATCATGGCTCAAAGCAACCTCAATCTCCCAGGCTCAAACAATCCTCTCACTTCAGCCTCTCATATGTTTTTAATGTGGTGTTGGATTCAGTTTACTAGTATTTTGTTGAGGATTTTTGCACCTGTATTAAGCAAGAATATTAGCCTATAGTTTTCTTTTATTGTGTCCTTGGCTAGTTTTGGTATCAAGGTAACATTGGCCTCAGAGAATAAGTTTGGAAGAATTTCCTTCACTTCAACTTTTTCATATCCTTCAGGTTGAGAATATGAATACTAGTTATTCAAAAAGTTTTTCTGAATTTAGCAGTGAAGATATCTAATTTTGAGCTTTCTTTTGGTGGAAGACTTCTTATGATTGATTTAAATCTCATTACTCATTATCGTGTTGTTTAGGTTTCCTATTCCTTCCTTATTCCACCTTGGTACGTTGTATATGCCCAGAAATTTATCCGTTTCTGTTTTCCAATTTTTTAGCATAGGGTTTTCCATAATATTCTCTAGTGACTCTTTTTATTTCTGTAGTATCAGTTGTAATATCTTCTTTTCATTTTTGATTGTATTTATGTGAGTGTTTTGCTCTCTCTTTTTTTGGTTATTTTACTGATTATGTTTTGTTTATCTTTTCAAACAAACAATAAGTTTTTCATTAAGCTTCATTTTTTGTGTGTTTTTAGCCTCTATTTTCCTTAGTTCTGCTTTGATCTGTATTCTTTACTTTTACTAATTTTGTGTTTGATTTCTTCTTGTTTTTCTAGTTTCTTAAGGTGCATAATTAGGTTGTTTATTTGAACTATTTCTGCTTTTTTATGTAAGTGTCTATTGCTATAAACTTCCTTCTGAGCACTGCTTTTGCTGTATTCCATAGATTGAGGTAAGTCCTCTATGTTTCCATTTTTATTTATTTCAAAAAATTATTTTCTTTTCAAATTCTTTATTGATTCAATGATCATCCAGGACCACATTCTTTAATTTCCATATATCTGTACATGTATAAAGCTTCTCTTGTTATATATTTCCAGTTTTTTTCCTGTGGTAATCTAAGAAGATACTTAATACAAATTTGACTTTTTGAAAATTTGTTGAAACTTGTTATGTGGCCTAAAATATGGCTCATCCTGTATAATATTCTTTGTGCTGATGAGACGTATGTATACTCTGCAGTTCTTGGATGAAATGTTTTGTAAGTATCTGTTAATTTCATTTGGCTTGTGGAGCAGAGTATATCTGATATTTCTTTGTTGATTTTTTGTATTTGTTTTCTTATCTACCAGTTGTTTTTTCTTTTAGCTCTTTAAATATAATACCCATTCTTTCCTGGTCTGTAAGGTTTCTTCTGAGAAATTGTTCTTATTCTGATGATAGTTTCTTTATAGGTAACTGGATGCTTTTCATTTGGTTGTTTTTAGAATTCTCTCTTTGTCTTTTACTTTTTACAGTTTAACTATAATGTACCTTGGAAAAGATATTTTGGGGACTGGATCTATTTGAAGATTCTTAAGCTTTCTATATCTGTATGTCCAAGTCTCTTGAAAGACTTGAAAATATTTCAACTCTTATTTTGTTAAATAGGTTTTCTATGCCTTTGCACATCTCTTCTCCTTCTGGAAATGTCTAAATTCATTTTTTTTTTTTTTTTGCTAATGGTGTTTATGTCACATAAATTTTCTTTACTTTTATTTTTAATCAGAGTGAGTTATATTGAATGGCCTATCTTTAAGGTTAGAAATTCTTTATTTTGCTTAATCTCATCCGTTGTCAAACCTCTTGGTTGTAATTTTCATTTTATTCATTGAATTCTTCAATTTCAGGATTTCTGATTGGTTCTTTTTTATAGTTATTTATCATCTTTTGTTGAATTTCTCATTTAGATCATGCATTGTTTTCTTTATCTGTGTTATTTTGTATCTCACTGAGTTTCTTTAATTTCGTAATTTTGAATTATTTTTCAGACATTTCACAGATTTCCTTTTTTTTTCTATTCTGTCCTTGGAGAATTATTGTGTTGCTTTAGAGGTGTCTTTTATTTTATTTTTTTCCCCATTTCATGTGTCCTTAAACTGATATCTACACATATGGTATAACAGTTGCTTATTGTAATTATACAGACTGGCTTTCATAGGGAAAGATGTTTTTCTGTATCTATGTTTCCATTGTTGCTTGATTAGAGCACTTTGACTTTGATTCTGGGTGGATACAGTAGTGTAGTCTTTATATGATTTCTTCATCTGTAATCAATTTCAGTAGTATCTGTGAGATCTTCATGAGCTTAGGCTGCAGATTTTAGTGGACACTGTTGAGGCTTTCTTGGGGATGAGGAAGCCTGGTAGGCCAGTTCTTGGGCACCAGTGGTGGTGCAGTGAACTGGGTGTCCCAGTCCTCAGGCACCCGGATGGTATAGGTGGGCATCATCATTGACAGGTTTAGGCAAGTCAATATTTGAGTCTCTAGGTGGTATGCTTGGGCAATAGCAGTATCAGCAATGGGCTGGGAAGGGGGATGCTCAGGCCTTCAGGTGGCATGTGTGGCATTAGCAGTGACATTAGAAGCAGCAGACCAACCCTCAGGTGCACATGGGTGGGTGCCATTGGCAGCAGGCTGAGTGGGCTCATCCCTGAGGCCTCAGAAGGCCTGTGTGAGTGCCAGTAGTGGGCATGTTGGTCTCCTGGATGGTTTGTGTGTTCACTGGTGGTGGTGGGCTGGGTGCCCCAAGTTCCCAGATGACATGCACAGGTGCCAACAGTGATGGCCAGTGCAAGTTAATCTCTGTATCCCTGAATGATGTGTGCAAGTGATGATGTTGGCAGCAGTATTAAGCATGAGCCTGTCCTCAGATCCCAAAATGGTGCATGCAGGTGCTGATGGGAACAGGTGGAGCAGGTCAGTCTCCAGATCCTTGGGCAGTGTGTTTGGATGCTGGTGGGAGTGGCAGTGGCAGTGACATTGGGCATAGCAGGATGGTCCTCAGGCTTTGGGATGGTTTGTGGGAATGCTAGTGACAAAGCCATCTGAAGGCTGGTGCAAGTGTGCAGTAATCCTGCTGCTGAAGGGGCAGGGTTTCTGTTAGTGGCAGCAGCCCCAAGCAGATGGCTCTCAGTCTCTGAGAAGCATGTGCCCTGGCTACCTTTTTCCAGGGATTGCTTCCCTGCTGAGTTGCTCCACTCATTCCTTCCAGTGTAGGACACTGTGTTGTCTAGAGTACTTGGGACCCAATCATACCAAGGGGTCCCGCGGTATGACGGTGCTATATCCCTCTTGGTTGACCTGGAGGTGGAAATATTAGTGGGGCCTTAGGGATGTGGAGATGCAGGGGCTTTGGGGCTCCAGGGAAGGATGTCTAGTGGGGGATTGACTCTCAAAATAGCAAAGTGCTACAGTTGCTTTGGTCTCAGGCAGTGTGTGGGATACAGCGTGAATATTGTCTCTGGAACAATGTCATTGTTTGGATTCCAAGAAGCTCTCTATTCTAGTTTAAGGCCCCTGAAGGTCAAGGGGCTCTCCTGTAGCTAGGATTGCAGGAGTCATGGTGGGAATGTGGACCTATTGAGATCTCTTCCTTACCTTTTCCCCATAATGGGGCATTCCTTCTGGCTCCAAGTTGATATTGGCCAGGTAGACTGTCTCAGTTCACTCTTTTTTTATGCCTCAGAGGTGCCCTGTCACTTCCTTGCTGAATTCCATGGTTCTGCCTTAGATGCTTTATTTGACATATTGTTATCTGTTCACTGTTTTGGTCCTTGTTTGTGGAGAAGGCAAGTGCCAGGCACCTCCAGTCAGCCATCTTGAATTCTCCCTGTACTTGAGAACTGAATGTTATCATTTTCTTTATAGACACTAACATAGTGAGCAAAAGCAGGTTAAACAACTTCTAAAAATTGTTTTCTATTGGTTTAAATGATTAGCCAAAACAAAACTAGTTCACATGGACTTGTAATGGATCAGACACATCTTTTAGGTCTTGCTCTTAATTCTATATTAAGACTTCTAAGTAGAAAAATAAAAGAAGGATCTTCCTTTGGATTAGCACTATGAAAACTGAGCGAAGTGAATGAGACACAAAAATCTATGAGGAAAGATATTTTTACTTGATTGCCATTTAAAAATTGCAATGTATTTTAATCTGCATAAAATAAGTGGTGCCTATTAAAAAATATCATTTGCTGTAATGCATAAAGTATATCCCTTCAGAGGCTTGCTTTATGGCAAAGAAAATGTGTTAAAAGTGTGAGCCATAATTTTATAGTTAAGCCCAAGGTTGCAAATAAAACAAAGGAGAAATAAAAATACAAAAAATAGAACATCCAGTGCAAGTTCAAAAAAAGGACATTAAAATATTATCTTAATTGAAAATATGCTAAAAATTCATGTTTTATGTTAAAGTAATTATATCAAAATAAATACTTAAAAATACTTTATTATTTTTTGTTATCGTAGTTTGGCTTTTTAACACAAAATGATATATACCTCCCCCTCATAATCTCTCATGTTCTCCTGCCATACCCTCTTCTGCTTGTGGGGATCCTTAAATATGATGATGTCTCTAATGGACTTTTCTTTACCCAAGACAATTCCTAAATAGTAGACAAGTCTCATTTAAAACATCCTCCTACAAACATTCCTGAATGTCCCTGTACTAGGGCAGGTGCTAAACTAGGGATACCATGTATCCCTGGTCATTCTGAACATCTCCTATGGTACCACTTAGAGAACTTTACTTTTAAAAGTTCATGAGTAATAATCTTTTTTCCCCCAGCAAGATGATGCATTATTAAGCTTACTATTGCTCATGAGGAGAGTCAAGCAGTCACTCAGACACTTGAGACATCTCTACAGAGGCCTTGCAGAAAATGCAGGACTGGAAGAATCTATTGAAGAGGAGAAGTGAAATAGATTTTTGTCTACTAGTTCCTCTGATTTCCCATATGCCATTGATTCAAGTATGCTCATAGGGAGTTAACTCCCTCTTATCTGGGTTGCATGTCCCTGCCCTTTCAGCAACTTTATATGAATTCTGAAGTAGTGGCAGGAGACAGGAGCAGTTTGCAGGGCTCTTTGGTAAGGGTTTGAGAGACAGGTATGGGCCAATACATCTGAGGGGAACATGCAATGCGAAAGGTACAGAGAAGGGGCTAAAGAACTAGCACTCTTTTCTAATCTGCAATTCTACATCACACAGACACCCTCAAAAGTATTTGATATATTGATTATGATTCCCATTTCTTATGTATTAACAAGCATATAGCGATTAAATTTCTTACACAAGTTCATTAAAGCATTAATAAACATGATGCTAGAACTCAGTGTTCCTTATACCACACCAATCTCATTTTATTTCCTAGTCTAAATATGGTGATGGTATAAGTTTTGGACAATTCATATTGAAACAAGAAGTGTCTGAAAATTTGATTTTGACCATCCTGATTAACTGATGATTTATGTAATTTCTTTTATTAGTAAGAAAAGAAGCAATCAATTTTGAGAAACTGTCAAAATAGATGTCTCTTCCTTGCAAAGCATACTTTTTGTTTAAAAGCAATTATCTAGTTTGGTGTTAAAAAAAACACAAAATCTTTGAAGCTACTCTGGCTTCCATAGTTATGAACATATAATGTTTCTGGGACAACCTTAGAATAACTCTTGGACACATGGGAAAGCTATTAAAAAATAAAATGCTCTTTAAGTTCTTCTGACTAAATGCTTATGAATCATTAAAAGAGTTTTTTTTTTTTTTTTCCAGAATGTAAAGGTGCCAGTTTTCCAATGAGGCATTAAAACCCTAGGATATTGGAGAAGACAAAAAACAGATTATTCAGTTACATAAGCAAAATTACTTTGATTTCAGATTACACAATACTCTATTAAGTACTAACGTGCCATAATAAAGCACACATAAAAAATAAACATGTCACATGAGCAAAATTCTATCCCAGTTCGAGTGAAATATAGTATTACTATATTATCATAATATAATTATACATAGTCAAAATGAACTTCTTAGAGTGCATAGAAACACAGACAACTAATTGAGAATTTGTTGAAAAAGAGAGTAGAGGAGTTTGCATTCTTGAAATGTTTTATTTAAGAAGCAGCCTGGGCATGTGGGACGTGGGGACGCTGCGGCGGGAGGATTGCTTGAGGCAAGGAGTTGGAGACCAACCTAAGCAAGACAGTGAGACTCCATCTCTCAAAAAAAAAAGAAAAGAAATAAAAAAAAAGAGAAAAGGCTTCAGGTTCTGTGAGTTCATAATAGACAAACATGTCTTATTCTTGCTCTGCAAGCATCTGTTTGCTGAAAGAAGTTGAAGGAAGTTAGGATTACCAGAGGGTTTTCTCCCCTGATGTTAAAGCTATTGGAATGAACATATGGAAGGAATCGGCCAGCTGGGTTGCAAAGACGACCTAAAACCTTCTCATTAAAATGATCACTTCTGCTGATTTGGAATGCCTGCAGAGATAAATGGTAGGAGAATTTACTATTGTGGTGTGGCTACATCTCTTTAAAGCGTTAGTGACCCCAGGATCTTCCTTGCCTATCCACCCAAATCATGCTGGTTTTGTTTATATTTCTGTAACTGTATAATGATCCATGATAATCCCATAAAAGAATGAGGAGTTAATCTCGTATCCAACACCCTGCTCTCTTTGATATCAAGATATTTTCTAATGAGAAGGGTGCATTATTTACCATGTATGCATGTAGGAAATGAAATATCTATTTTTACTTCGTGATTTTTATGTGCATTGTTTTGTGGATATTTAATAAGATTTGATCTCTTGTATATAAGTAGAAAGCATTTTTTGCCTTCTTTGTTAATATATATTGATTATAAGGCTTATATTAGAATAGAAAGAAATTAGATTCAGGAAGAAAATTATACTTCTTATTCCTAGGATATTTAATACTTTTTTTGTAAACCATAAATTCTATATAGATAGCAGAAAGATTCTAATATTTAATATTGACTGTAACATGCAATTATTTGTCTTGCCCTTTATTGTCATCTTATATCATGTTGTGGGAGGAGGCAAATAAGAAAAAGTAAATAGTTACCTTAATTTCTTCTGAAAAGTCAGTACTGGCAGCAATCCTTTATCAATCAGTGTAAAGGGAATATTCTTTATTCACAAGCTTTATTAGAAATAGAGTCTCCGTATTAGAGCCAAAGACACTCAATCCTTACTGTTTGTTTGCAATGAAAGTTGTGTTTAGGTTTCAGAATACATGCAAAGGCATTAAAAAAATCATATATATATGTATATATTTTTAAAAAAACTGAAATGTAATAAAACAGTAGACTTGGTTGCATTGGGATAATTTTTTAACTGCTTTTTATTGTGGTCACATATTCATAACATAAAATTTGTCCTACTATGTGTGGCTTATTTTACATAGCATAATGTCTTCAAGGTTAATCTATATTATAGCATGTATCAGAGTTTCATTCCTTTTTAAGGCTGAATAATATTTCATTGTATACTTACACTAACAAAATACAGTTAAGTTGAACATTTAAGTTTCTCACACTTTTTGGCTATTGTGAATAATATTGCTATAAAAATGGGTATACAATATCTGAGTTCCTGCTTTCAATCATTTCAAGTAAAATTGGTGGATTATATAATAATACTTTTTTTTAGGGACTGCATAACTGATTAAAAATTACCTTATTTTACATTATTGGGTGGTTTTATTATCAGTGACTATTCCTAAATTTTTGACTACATGGTAGCGTACTTAAAATTGAATCATATATTTATTTGTTAAAAGTGAAATTTTCATTGCTAATATGAATGAATACTTGACCCAGTTGGGCAAACTATTACCTGTATCTGCTAACTTCATAATTATATAATGAAAATGATTGATAATTAGCTCTTGAAATGTGGATATTGGTAGATATTTGTGGTACTCCAGTAGGGGCATAAATCAACTCTTCACCTAAATCTGGTGTGAATGTTGAGACTGATGCAAATGTGCATTGAGAGGGTTTATTATTCAAGTAAAGAGACTTCCTGGGGCATGTAAGACTGGTACACAAGCCAGTCTGGAATGACTCGAGCAAGTGGGTGAGGGTTGGCTTGGAGTTCTTTTTCTTGGTAGGGGGTAGATTTGTGAACATGTTCCAGCTTTTGGGTTATGGATTATGTGGCTTGTATTTCCAGTGGTGCCGAGGGACCTGTGGTCTTATTTATCAACTTGCCCTGATAAGTGCTAGAGGGAAAGAGATGGAAATGGGGCCAAATAGCTTCCAGCAGTCAAACATCAAACATGGAGTCAGACTCTTTATTGCTGTAGAAAGTGTGATTAGAATTTAAAGTACTTAATTTTACTAGTCCTAAAATTCACTGGCTATGTGATGTTAAAATAGCCAATTAACCTACCTAATTGCTCTAATACCTAAGAGGGTTTTAAGAAGATGTTTTGAATTACAGATATTAAAATCTTTGGAAGTACTACAATAGTTGATTCTAAGTAGTCTGTTTCCTAGAATCCACGTGCTTAAGCGTTAGAGATGCAGTCTCATGCTATTGTCACGTTTAGACTTGTGAGACTGACTATATTCAGCACACAGTTTGTACTTTAATCTGTAATCTTGACCAGCATATATAGCTTCTTTGTTTCCCAGTTCCATATGTATAAAATCAGAGTATTAAGACCATATTTCACAATTCCTTATTGTGAGGATTAAATCAATCCATGTATTTAAAACATTTTTTTAAAGTATCTAGCATATGCTAAACACCTTAAGCGTTAGATAATTATTTGTAGAGAAATGAATGAGAAAAACCAATACAAAGTTGCTATGGTTCACATATGTGACGCCTCCAAATGGTCAAATTAGATCCCCAGTTTTGGAGGTGGGGCCCAGTGGCAGGTGTTTGGGTCACAGAGGTGGATCCATCACGAATGGCGTGGTGTTTTCCTCATGGTCATCAGTGAACTTTTACTCTATTCGTTCCCCCATAGATTTGGTTGTTTAAAAGAGTCTGGCACCTCTTTCCCCTCTCTCTTCCTTCTGCTCTCTCACCTTGTGATCGCTGGACATCCCAGCTCTGCTTCATGTTCTGCCATGAGCAAAAGTAGCCTGAAGCCCTCACCAGAAGCAGATGCTGGAGCCATGCTTCTTGTACAGCCTGAAGAATTGTGAGTCATATAAACTTCTTTCCTTTGTAAATCACCCAGCCTCAGGTACTCTTTTATACCAGCACAAGTGGACTGAGGCAGAAAATGTCCAAATTTATGAAGATATCTTTTGGAGAAAAAAGTAAATATTTGCATTCATATTTGTAGCTTCTCAGAGGAGCATTTTCTTTAGTCCAATTTCTTATTAGTATTTTCTCAAAATTACATAATGCATTTAAAGTAATTTAAGTCAGTATAAAAATTAAGAAATTTGGCTGGGTGCAGTGGCTCACGCCTGTAATACCAGCGCTTTGGGAGGCAAAGGCGGGTGGATCACCTGGTGTCAGGAGTTCAAGACCAGCCTGGCCAACATGGTGAAACCCCGTCTCTACTAAAAATACAAAAATTAGCTGGATGTGGTGGCGTACGTCTGTAGTCACAGCTACTCCGGAGGCTGAGGCTGGAGAATCGCTTGAACCTGGGAGGTGGAGGTTGCAGTGAGCCGAGATGGTGCTACTGCACTCTAACCTGGGTGACAAAGCGACACTTGGTCTCAAAAAAAAAAATAATGAAAAAATTAAAAACTTTACATGACACCTTAAAGCATCTTTTATATTCTTTTTAGAAATAAATAAATCATCAAAGTGATACTATTGGCTCTTCTCATAAATATCATTTATTATTCCACCCTCTGTTGTTCTAAAATTGACAGCAGGTTCTTTAAACCTAGCAAATCTCTGTCAATGTAATAATTACAAGCAAACCAAATGCTTCAGTACAATTTTAACACATGGGAGTCCTGGGCCCACTTTCTAAAATGTGAATAACAGAGATTTGTCTTGGAGTTTATATTCATCTCTATGGTAACTAGATAAATCACTCCAGTGTCAATGAGACAAAGTTCTGGCTCTCATTTCAAAACACACATATGCATTTTCACATTGTAGCAGTCAACATAGAGATATCTCTCCAAGCTTAGAATTTTGCCCTTGGGGGATGATTTTGACTGTGTATCAGTGACTCTCTTTCCTTGTATTGGTATTTACATATCTCTAAGGAGCATTTTTGCTTGTGTTCCAGAGTACAAAGCAGGAAAAGCAGAGTTCTGAGCACTCAAAGGGCACATATAAGTTTGGCTCTAAGAATTACAATTGCAGACCGATTACCTCATGAGCTCATAAAAATCCTTCCTGACAGACATTATGTGATGCATGATGTCTCTGTTTACTATCATTCAAAGTTTCTTGTTCCATTTTCTATAAAAATCCTACTACAATAAAGTTGTAATCTTGAAGCGATCCCATTACTCCTCACCTTTAGACTGGTGTAATCTAGAAAAGTCAGTTAGAAACCTGTTGAGACTTCAGTTCTCACATATGCATGCACAGTTAGAATTCTGATTGAAAATAAACATGTTTATAGGCAGAATGGAGGAGTTCTAGTTATTTTACAGAAAATTCAAGTGTTTCTATAGGAATCAGAATAAGACTGTAGCAATAAGAAATGCTGATGGTGAACAGTCATGTATTCACTCAACTATGGCCCATTCTACATCTATTGGGTGCTATCCCGGAGTAGCCAGCCAGCGCTATACTTCTGCTCTTATAATACATGATCCTAAGCAGAGATTTGAAAAATTAGGAAGTGTTCAAAACTGACAGTAGTGCAACTGTTAAATGTTGTGTGTAAATACATTTCAGAAACATGCATTTGTAGATTGCCACCATCAACTCTGAAGCATTTTTTAATGTTGAGCAGAATACTTAAGAGACGGGAATTTATAATATTCTCAAAGCTCTTAGAATCAGACAGTGACTAAAAGATTGGTGAGAAAAACACCAAATATAATAATGCTTACATATTCAGTCACGAGGACAGTCTGCCCTTAGTGGCAAAATATCTATTTATAACTATTTTAAATTTGCCTATGGTGTTTCTGACCCTTTAGAAATGATGGCTACGAAAGGATCACCCAGAGAGCATTCCAAAAATGTCGATTCTGAAGCTGATTTATAGAGTGCATCAGTAAACTTTGATATATAGATCAGGGATTTTAAAATCAACCTAAGAGATTATGATGATCATTCAGATTAGGAATTACAAGCAGAAAAAACATACTATATTCAAGTCAAATCTATAAAACATAGTGATGTGTGGTTTCCAAAGTATTGTAACACGAAGTCCTTTATCATCACTGCAACCTAAGGCATTTCAAAAGATCAAATGTGAGATAATATTGTGATATATCTATATTGTCGCTAACATGTTCATCACACTTTAGGTTTACTTTCTTCATCGAACACATGGGAAATACATAGAAATTAGACATGTGGCTGGGCATATTTACCTGGTCATGACTTTTCCATTTCTACCTATTATGAAGAGCAAATAAAAATCATTGGGTAGTAAGCTAACATGAATACTATCTGAAGTTCTATTGCACCACGTTTGCGTGTGCATGTGTGTATATATGCCGAGATAATCTTTCCTCATTATTTAGGAAGTCTAGGGATAAAATTATTTACAAGAAATATAAATGGTAGGACATCTTAATGTCAACCTAAAGTCTTCTTTATAAGTGATGAGTTAACATATGTTGGAATTAAGAGAACAAAACTTATCTTTCCAAGAGTATAAAGAAATTTAAATTATATTTTAATTTATATAATAAAAATTGCCAAGGTTTTTGTTTGGTGAAATTGGACAGAAAAAAATTAGAGATTCAACATTAAAATAAGAAATTAATTTTTTGAGAAATATCCATATCGTCTTCCATAATGGCTGTACCAATTTACATTCCCACCAACAGTGTGCGGGGGTTCCCTTTTCTCCACATCCCTATAAACACTTGTTATCTTTTATCTTTTTGATATTAGTCATTCTAACAGGTGTGATGTGATCTCATCGTGGTTTTGACTTGCATTTCCCTGATTAATGATACTGAGCACCTTTCTATATGCCCGTTGACCATTTGCATGTCATCTTTGGAGAAATGTCTATTCAGGCTTATACTCTTCTTTTTAGTGGGTTATGTGTTTTTTGCTATTGAGTGGGTTGATTTCCTTATGTATTTTGGATGTTAACACCTTATCAGATGTATGATTTGCAAATATTTTGGTAAAAGCACAGAAAGTTTGTTAGATTAATAAGTTCTGAAAAATCTCATTTATGGCATACATATTGGAAATTTGCTAATAGAGTGGACTTTAAGTGTTCTCACCATACACATGAAAATGGTAATGTTAACAGGTGATGTATATGTTCATTAGCTTGATTGTGGTAATAACTTCATAATGTGTATTTATATGACATTATCACATTGTACACCTTAAACAGACACAAATTTTGACCAGTTTACCTCAATGAAGCTTGAAGTAATGAAAATTGAAATTACTTTTGAGGAGATTATGATAGGGAGTTGTCTGATGAAAAAAATTCTAAAGGTAATATGAGCTCAGATTCATAATAAAAGTGGCTCCAAAAATTATTTGTAAAGGAGCTGAGTGTAATAATTTTTAACAATTTTAAAGGGGGTTAAGGAAAAAAATAACCAAAAGAATGTAAATGTAAGACATCATATTTAAAGATGGTGGTGCAGGAGAACTCAGAATGGTATGAAGGCTTGGAATCCGGATAATTAGGAAGTTTTTTTTTTAAAATAATTTTCCAAGCCAGTTAGTTTTACTTTCACCAATTGTAATTATTAAAGATTGTTCCTGTTTTTTCTTGATTAGCTGTTAAAAATCTCTGTAAAAGGCAACCAACTCTTAGACTAGCACTTGTTTCCAGCGTTCAGTACCATATTTGTAGCCATAGCTACTCGAAGAAGCAAAATGTGAGAATCTCTACCAAATTTTTCAGCTAAGGATAACAGAGTTGCAGAGTAACAGATACACAACTGGAGTAATGAATCTCAAGAAATAAGTGGTGATAACAATATTGCCAGCATTTACTGAGTGATTACTGTATACACTCATTATTCAGTTTCATATTTATGGTGGCATTTAATCCTTGTATACAAAGAATATTTAAATAAGGAAATATTCTTTATTTTAGAGAAAGTCTAAAATTTAGAAGGATTAAGTAATTTTTCTGGGTTTTAAAATTTTCTGGGTTTAAAAATTTCTTAAGAGTCCAGGCCAAGATATGAACAGAGGCAGTCTAACCACGGATCTGCTCATTAACTACTAAGAGATAAACTACAAGAAAGGCATAGAATGAAGGGCTCCAGTTATGCTAGGCAAAGTCCACAGTTTTGAAAATCTTTCCCATTGGCCTCCAAGGTATGCACAAATGTGCTACTTACATTATAGACAGAGAGAACTATCATCAAAACGAGATATTTTTAAATGTATATTGCATGATTGTTCCAAAATCCGCTTTAAAGTACAATAAATAAGCCATGCTAAGTTTTTCCATTGGGGGGGAGTACTTAGTCTCGAATTTATAGCATACCGTTACATCTTAATCTTTCGAGAATTATTAGAGAACTCAACACCATCCTTCTAAATTTGCACCTACTTAACATCTATGCCATCTCAAGAGAGGCATTGACTCCATAACAGCTAGCATTTCAGGGCATTTGTATTACAAAAGACTCATCTATGTCATTGGGGCAGGGGGAAGTTGTAACAATCTGTGTATACTTTTAGGAGTGTTATACCCACACGTACATCAACAACTTGTCATTCATGCAGGGAAGGTTGTGGGCATCAATTTTCTGCATGACAGTTTGGGTAGGCAGTGCCATTTTTCAATATTTTCACGTCTTTCCTTTCTGGTTACATAGTAGAAGTGCAATTCCCTACTTCCTTTAAGTGAAATATGGTATTGTTACTTTCTTTGTGCAATGAAACATGAAATGGCATAAGCTATGTTGCACCTGAGCAGATACCTTGAATAGTTGGTGCATGACTTGTCATGTTCTCTATTTGTCGTCCATGATTCTGAACTAATGATAAGCCACATAACACATGGTAGAGGCGCCATCATCTTCAGTTCTTGATAGAGTACACTGTAGAGAGAGCTGCTACTTACTGATTTTGGCTGATTGCATTAAAAATAAATTGTTTCTGGTTTTTGTTTTTGTTTTTGAGACAGTCTCGCTCTGTCGCCCAGGCTGGAGTACAGTGGCGCCATCTCAGCTCACCGCAACCTCTGCCTCCCGGATTCAAGCGATTCTCCTGCTTCTGCTTCCTGAGTAGCTGGGACTACAGGCGCCCGCCACCATGCCCAGCTAATTTTTGTACTTTTAGTAGAGACGGGGTTTCACCACGATAACCAGGCTGGTCTGGAACTCCTAACCTCATGTGATCCTCCTGCCTCGGCCTCCCAAGTGCTGGGATTATAGGCATGAGCCACCGTGCCTGGCCTGTTGTTTCTGTTTTTTAAGATACTGAGCTTGTTTAAGTAGATTTTATGCATTTTAACTTTATCTAACTTGACTGATAAAGCAGTCTTTCAAATATTTAAAAATAATTATAACATATCTTCTTAATTTTCTATTCTCTAGCTTAAGTAATTCCATTATCTCTAACATTTCTTTGTTTGAAATGTTGTCCAAACTGATAATATTTTCTATTTTAGTGGCAATAAAACTTTTTAACTACCAAATATTTCTGGTTAGTTTGCACCAAACATGTTTGAAATATTCCTCCTTGGATTTCCAATGACTACATACAGGCCATATTTAAATTTGGTGCATTTCATTTGTGAACACATTTTCATGGTGGTAAAGGGCAATTCATAAAATGGGACTGACAAGAAAGGTGACATTTTCTTGGAATAAATGTCCATAAACTCAACTATAAATTATTGTTTTATAGATTTTAGGGGTTACTAATTTCATCAGTAAGTGGACTAATCTGGAACGAACAAAAACAGGAAATATTTGAAACTTCGAGTACTTTCCATGATAACATCTTGTTTTATACCATTCAGCTTGAGCCATCACTACTAATAGAAAATATATTAAATATTAAGAGGGTCATAAAGGAGCCAAGTTAATGGGATCACAGATGAAACATCATTGAACAAGTGAAACAGACTAGACTCCTTCTCAACACTTTTCATAATAGTCAAAACATTAAAGTACCTCCTTGACTTTTTAGAAAAATATATAAAGTCTTTAGAAATTGAAAAAGTGATCCCTAGTTATGCTTTCTAGTTTGCCAATTTTAATGAACTAGGAAGCTGTAAAGGGACAGCCTGAATTCCACTGGGATGACTGAACAAAATTTGTCTCCATTTTAGACTTAGATATGGCATAAATGAAATAAAAGATATTGCAGAAAAATAGAAAGACTTCTTCATCATGATTTAAAGAAAGTATGCAATCAAGAATATAGTCTAAATTTTATTAGAAATATGCAAATGAGATAAAATAATCTCTACAAGCTGCTCAAACATAAAATTCCGTAAATGTAGACTCACGTGTCTATACGTATTCTCCAATCAATTTCCAAGGCATTTGGAGTGAAATTGTGGTACTCTGACCAACAAATTCAAACAGTAGAATTTTACTGTTTTTGATTCTGAAGGCACACAGGGCTTAGAGAGTCAATTTGTTTTCTATGAGTATAGTACACAGGGAAAATATGGTGATTGCTTGTGTTTTGGTCATAAAACAAAGGAATTTCAAACTTTTTTTTTTTTTTTTTTGAGACGGAGTCTCGCTCTGTCACCTGGGCTGCAGTGCAGTCGTGCAATCTCAGCTCACTGCAACCTCCGCCTCCCAGGTTCAAGTGATTCTCCTGTCTCAGCCTCCCGAATAGCTGGGACTACACGTGTACACCACCATGCCTAGCTAATTTTAATAATTGTGGTAGAGAAGGAGTTTCACCATATTGGTCAGGCTGGTCTCGAACTCCTGGCCTCAGGTGATCCACCCGCCTCGGCCTCCCAAATTGCTGGAATTACAGGCGTTAGCCATCATGCCCAACCTCAAACTTTTTTTTTTCCAAAAATAGTGTACCCTTCAGGTATCTCACAAAAGAGAATAAGCTAGACACATCAAAACCCCCTGCCCCAAAATGGTGGCACCAGCTTTAGTCTTCTTCGGCAAACACAATTAATCCTCACTTTGTGTGAGAGGAGGTAAAATCAAATAATTCCCAATAGAATAGAATTGTAGTCTAGCACACTGTTCAATAAATATAGCTAAGTGTCCTAGTTTACTATTTTTCTCTTTTTCCTTTTGTCTTTCTGTGGGGAAACATCTTTGTATCTTATAAAGTGAAAAAAAATTGTAGAAATTATTCTTTTATACCATCTGACTCTAGATTTAAGTACACAGGCAATACCAACATATTCTGCCTTCCATCATGGGGATAGGAGGGCAGAGCATAAAGAGAAAGAAAGATTTTTTAAAAAAGTAATATCAATTTTTACTTAATGGAGATTTTATATATATATATATATATATATATATATATATATAAAAGTAATTTTTCCTCTACATCCACATGTAAATTCACATGATATATAAATTATGCTGGCATAATTCCATTGCTGAACATCTGCCCAAGTGACAGGGTAAAATCTCCTTTAGCAGATGGTTAAACTTTTTTGACAGTAGCTTTCAGTTTATTTTCCTAAAATTATTAAGAAAAAGAGGTAGGTCAGTATATTGATTAAAATATGCAAAAAGAACAGAGGACTAATTTAGGGAATAATTGTGATTTCATTTTTTTGTAGATAGTAATGAGGATAAATGGCAGTGAAAATGATAGTGATTTTACATCTGTACCTAAATCATTAATTTTTAAACATTTTATTTTAATTTGGGAATTTAAGGAATCTAGCTGTAATATTCATTTCCTTATAGGCATGAGTAACTTTCTGTTTTCATCTATTCCTTAAACTTTGGAATTTTTAGAATTATGGCAGTAATACTAGTCAGCTGACTAAAGTGTATGGTCAAAAAGGATTATTTTAGCTTATGTGTCTCAGATAAGTCTGCACAAATATAACAGCAAATCATAAGAGAATACAATTATTTTTCAGCACATCTGTCTTGGGACAATTAATTGCAGAAATGTAGCTAAACATGTACCATCTGTGAAGGAATCTGCCAAGCAGAATTAGCAATACTGCATTTTAATAAACACCTAGTAGGTTTGGTAGTTTCTTCTTACAGTTACCATACCTAAAAAGCTTGCCAAATTGCTATAGTTTTAAGATTCTAATTAGGCCTCATTTTCTGTAGTGTGGATAATTATTTCTGCTTATAATATGAAGGTTTTGGTCATTTATCTTGTTGGAAAAATAGCTATTTATGCACAAACAGATGTTAGCACAAGGTTAGTGTATACTGAATGACATACTTATTAGTTTAATAAATAACAATAAGACATGCCAAGTAGAGTCTTATGCTGCTAGTATAATGTCATACACAAGAAAAGGGATTGCCGGGCGTGGTGGCTCACGCCTGTAATCCCAGCACTTTGGGAGGCCGAGGTGGGTGGATCACGAGGTGAGCAGATCGAGACCATCCTGGTTAACACGGTGAAACCCCGTCTGTACTAAAAATACAAAAAATTAGCCGGGCGTGATGGCGGGCGCCTGTAGTCCCAGCTAATCAGGAGGCTGAGGCAGGACAATGGCGTGAACCCGGGAGGCGGAGCTTGCAGCGAGCTGAGATGACGCCACTGCACTCCAGCCTGGGCGACAGAGCGAGACTCCGACTCAAAAAATAAAAAAGAAAAGCGATAACAGAAATGTACATAAGATGGGAAATATTTACTTATTAGGAATAACTCCTCCCAAAATGCTCTGAATAGTTTTATAATTCCTCATTTATATTAATTTTAAGCAATGTAATTTCTATTTTTAAATAGAAATTAGATAAGAAACATGACAAAATCTAAAATAACTATTTCTTAATTTTGCAAAGCATTGTTTTATCTCAATGCTTTTCTTCTGAATAGATTACAAATGGAAGAAACAAAGTTATATGCCACTATTTTGACATAGTAGGAATATGTGCATTTGAATTTATAATATTTTGACGAAAACTCAAAAAACTATTACCAATATAAACAAATTGCATTCATAAAGTAGTTTTTAAACATTTTATTTTGAAGTAATTTTAAACATATAGAATATTTGCAAAAAATAATACTGAGAGTTCATATACACTCTTCACCCATCTTCTCCTAATGTTAAAAATATTCACAATCATGATGCAATGATAAAGACCAGGAAATTAACTTATTAACTCAATGACGAGTTTATTTGATTTTTACCAGTTTGTCCACCAATGACCTTTCTAATGTTCCAGGATCCCATTCAGAAGCCCATGTTACATTTAGTTCTAATTTCTCCTTAGTTTCTAGCAATTTGTGAAGTTTCTTATTCTTTCCTTATCCCCCATGATTCTCTTTGATACTTTTGTTGATTACTGGGCAGTTATTTTGTAGAATGTTTCTCAATATGGGTTTGCCTGTTTTTTCCCATAATTAGATTAATATTATGCATTTTTGGCAAGACTCCATGTTGTCATTCTCATATATTATGTTGGGCATTCAAGATATCCATATGCCTTATTACTTATGGTGTTCCTTGATAACTTGGTTCAGCTGATAGCTTTCAGTTTTCTCTAAATTGATTTTTAAAGTTTGTAACCGATAAACATCTTCAGATAAGTATTTGAGATTACTCTAATATCCTCTTTCTTCCCAAATTTTGTTTCCTTAAATGACTTATCATTTCTTGAATTTCTTCTATGCATTAACTTAAATTTTTAAAGATGGATCTCTTCTTTTTTATATATTTATTGATTAAATTACTCATGTCTATATGTGCTTGTAAATGTTTATTGTATGTTATAATCCAATACTTTTCTTGTTCAAATTTTCTAGGTTATGGTCATTGAACACTTAGTCAGGTTGGCTGACTTTTTTTGGCCTAAGTCTATCATTTACTCATTAAGTTCTTTATTTCCTAAATCCACAAAAACATTTCAGGTTCATTGTATATTTTTAAGTAGTTTTTATTCAAAATTAATAAAAAAAGAAATCAGCTATTCAATATTATTTTTGGTCAATATAAAAATGACATAATAAAACAGAAATTTCACTTTTTGATTTATCACGGTAGCCAGAAATGGTTAAAATCCACGAGATTAAGTGATAAATAATTCAAGGAGAGTCAAGGACAGTAGTCAAAAAATACTTGAAGAATGAAAACAGAAAATAGATACTAATCTAAGCCAGCAATTATTTGGTGGTTTATTCTTTTATAAGGTCAAATGTTTGTTAATTCATTTCCATAAACACATATAAATTACCCATTATATTTAACACACTGAACTTCATACAGTAAAAGCCATTTTTCCTCAGAAAGTTTACAATCATTTTCAGGATGATAACTGTATGTGTATGTTCATCAGTCATTTAGTATCTATTCAAAGAGTTGTCATGTTAATTGTGGGGACCCCAAAGGGAATAAGAAATGTGTAAATTCATATATATACATATATATGTATATGTATATATATATATACATATATATGTATATGTATATATATATATACACATATATATTTTTTGAGACAGTGTCTCACTCTTTCGCCCAGGCTGGAGAGTAGTGGTGCGATATCTGGGCTCACTGCGATCTCTACCTCCCAAGTTAAAGTGATTCTCCTGCCTCAGCCTCCCAAGTAGCTGGGATTACAGGTTTGAGCCACGATGCCTGGCTAATTTTTGTATTTTTTGGTAGAGACAGAGTTTCACCATGTTGGCCAGGCTGATCCCAAACTTCTAAGCTGAAGTGATCCATCTGCCTCAGCCTCCCAAAGTGTTGGGATTACAGGCATGAGCCACCATGCCTAGACCCAAACTCATAATTTTAATAACATGGTATTACTGTGACAGAAATATAATAATGATATTATGGGACACAGAAATAATCGTTAAGTACACCTAATGAAAACAGGAATGACTGTTTTAAAAGGCAGCCTACAGTTAGTGCTATACGAAAATTACAAAATCATATGGGAGTTCAGAAAAAGTAGAGTGTCTCTTCAATTGGGAGGAGTCAGGGAAGGCAATTTAGACAAATAACCATTATAAATATTGGTACGAGTCCTTCTCAATACAGTGGCTACTGGGAGGTATTGAGGAAAGAATGGCAGGCAATGATAAGAAGTTAACAGATTTTGTAAGCAGGTCATATCCACATCAGGCTAAACTATCAGACTGGAACTATAGTATAGATGATTCTTAAAATCAAGCTGTGACATTTGATTTACTTGGTAGGCAACGGAAAAACACTGAATTTTTTTAGCACTAAGTGATATGCTTAAAGTTTATTTTACAGACAGTTGCATGGATGTGAGAAATGGATTTTCTAAATGTTGGGGATTCTAGCAAGATGTCAAAATTAATATATGGTAAAGATACCTTTTGCTTATTAAATTAAGAATGATTTCATGATCATCCACCGAATGATAAAAACTAGGATAATGAATAAGACTTCATTTGTATCCTCAAGGAATTTAGTGTAAGAGCCATGAAGTAAACACATTGTTTTAATCATAGAGGTATGCTAAGAATTCTGTACTCTGCCATAATAAACAAAAAGCAAGAATGCCTGACCCAGGTGGAAAGCAGATTGAGAGTAGGACATTGGCTCTGAATATGAAGAACCGCTAGTAGTTTTGAAGTTGGAGGGACCATACAGGAAAAGTATATTCTCTTAGAAGAAGCAGGCTGGGAGAAGGCCAGAAGGTAAGCAGGTTATGACATCTGAGAAATTTCCAATTTGCTTTCTACGGCTAGAGTTTAGGAGACAAGGGGTGAGAAATGAATATTAAAGTTAGCAAAGCCAAAGAGAGTGTTATCATCTTCTGAAGTATATAATGTTTTTTTCTTATGGACTATTTATTTAAAACACATTTTGGGGGAATCCATTGGGATCCACTAGGGAATAGGTGGACAAGAAAAAGTTAGGATCCCTTATTCCTGTGCCCCTTCAATCATACTTGGTTTCTAAATTTATTTTACAACTAAAGCGTAAAATTTTGTTTGCATAACTTATTTTACTACAGAAAAAATACTTTCTAAATTACTATGCAATAATGAAAAGCTATGAGAAACAAGAATAAGCACAGAGTAAAATAATTGATAGAGCTGTTAGCACTTGAACCCTTAAATAAACACCTAGACCATCTCTTTCTTCTATCAAACTAGTAAAAATGAAAAAAGTGATAAGCAATGTTGGCTTGGAAATAATGTATAGAGCAATATCATATACTTCTGGAAAAAATATATACAGGTATTCCTCGGTATTCAGAAGAGATTGCTTTCAGGATCCCCTCATATAACAAAATCTACATCTACTCAAGTCCTAGAGTCGACCGTACAGAACCTGCATGTATGAAAAGTTGACCCTCCATATACACAGGCCTCCAATGCCATGAGTACTGTATTTTTGATCTGGTTTGTTTGAAAACAAAAATCCATATCTAAGCCCATATGCACAGTTCAAACCCATGATTTTCAAGAATCAACTGCATATTATCAAAAGCATTCTGAAAAGCAGAGCAACATTGGTACAAGATCATTAAAGTGATTAAAATCTGACACAGCAATTCTACATTTAAATGTCAATTCTCAAGTAAATGTTAGAAATGTGAGCAAGCCTTGCCCTGCATATGTTTGTTGCAGTCTATTCAAACTATGAAAAGGTCAACCTGAAATTCAAACCATAGGAGTCCAGTTAAATATATGGTGGTGGATAAATACAGAGGAATACTATGCAACCATTCAATGAGCCATTACATTTTTAATAACATGAAACACTGCTGTCAATATTGACACTGCTGCACTTATACTACACTATTATGAGACATTCCTGAGCAACATAGAACACATTTGCTTCTACGCCCGCCACTAAGTTTTCCCTTACAAAGGTTTTATTTTCTTCACACTCTGTGCTGGCACATACTAGGTTACTTACTGTTTACTGCCTGTCTCACACACACTGACATGTGAGCTCCATCAAAGCAGCAAATTTGTTTTGTCAATGAAACATCCTTGATTTCGAGAACAATGCTTGGCACATTCTAAAAGCTAAATAAACATTTTTGGAATTAATAAATAGTGCATAATTGTATATGCTTAGATATCAATTACGCAAAAACATCTATACAACACTAAAACATCCAAGATGTCATAAATCAATAATGCCAGAATTTTGGAATTTTGAGCATTTTGATTCATAAAATGATATTTTCCTAGATATAAGAAAATTTTCTGTAAGAAGAATGAATACGTTTTGTTAGATAAAAACAGCAAAGTTATGACTAAAAAATAAAATAAACTGTATTTCAGTGTGCTGGGGGGCACTTTGGCATTTATTATGATGATTTTGCAGTGAATATGTTTAAAATATTTAAACCAGGAGCTAAGGAATGGCAGAAATAAAAAAGACGCTAAGAGTATTGTGTGTCTGTTGTTTTTTTTTTTTTTTCCTGTGAAAATATCCATAGATATTATCCAAATTCAGTGATTAGGGCACTGATCTTTCTTCAGATTTCCCTGAATTTTTCCCTCACTCTTTGGATGCTCTTATCCTAGACACTAGAGTTGAAAAATAGTAAGACAGTTGCCATACCTGAGCTGCAAAAAACACTTCAGTGTGTGTGTGTGTGTGTGTGTGTGTGTGTGTGTGTGTTCGGTTTTCTCTTTAGCTCCTTTGCTCTAATCCTGACAAACATAGTCTTCCCTCACCATATTTGGATCATTGAAAAAAAAAAAAGAAACTATAATTGTAGACTTTTGTTTGCTCTTTGGGCCGGGCTTTAACTCATGATGGCATCTTGGAACTCTCTTGCACAGGAAAATAAAAGACTCTACCTGATTCCACCCTGTATCCAGGAATTCCATATTGGACTCACTTCCAACAATGGACTACAGGACTGTGGTTTTTCTTACTTCACTGTCTACTCATGTTTCTCCTTCAAGTAAATATATGGAGAACAGGGTTTCAGTATGTGTGTTCTCATCAATTTCCATTGGAATAACAATTTTTATCCTTATATCACCTTCTTACATCACCTTAACAAGCAAGAAAACTCAATTATGTAGAAATGGATCTGCTGGATGTTATTTAAACCATATTATTTTATATCACAGTTTTAGTACATTAAATGTACTTCTTTATATCAGCTCATTTCCTGTGAGTCATTTCTAATTTATTTGTGTGCAAGATAATAGAGAAGAAAAGCAATTGATAAAGCTTGTCCATAGATACAGATAACGATAGGAGTCTGTTTATTGTTTCAACAAAACTTTATTCAGTACATACTATGAAGCAAGCAAGAATAGTTTGGGTGAAACTATGAATCAGGAGCCTGGGTACATTTGGAGAAAGAAGCTAAAAGCCACCAAAAATAAAAAACGCAGCACTACCGAAAACACACACAGCAATGTCCTAATTCTGCCTAGAGCCAGCCCTAATTGTGAGAATTAAATTTCTCCCAACTTTAGCACATTAAAATTAACAAAAATATTTTAAGGTGAGTTGGTTAATAAAATGTACTAATTTAACTTATAATTATAACCAAACGTGTGATTATATGTAACTCACTATCAAAAGCTCTCCATGAAAAGTCTGGTTTTAGCATGAAGCTGGCTCAAGATTACTACAGTTAAAAAAGCCCTGAGTTTTGTAGCATATAATCGTTATAGATTTCTGTCACAGAAATCCATAGAGATGTAAGAAATTCCTTTCTCCACGTAATATAATCTTCAATTTTATGAAACTGTTAAAGTTATCTTTAGATGATTAAGATGGAAATTGCTTGTATGAAAGTTCTACCACCTGAAGGTATTGGTTACCACTTGGAACAAATCTCTATTTAAATGACGTATTAAACTCATGTCTGAAAAATCTTTGTCCAAAAATGAAATGTTAGTGTAAAATGTTCATTAGGAACCTCATATCCATTATCTGAGGTTTCCTAAAAGCAATGATGGAATAAAGAACTTTTACAGCCCAGCCATCATTTTTAGAGAACAAATTATTTAATGCATGAAGCAAATATACTAGGAGGAATGCAAAAATTCCTGAGGTGCACAGGGGCTGGGGGGACCTCTTCTACCGAAGATTTCAATTGCTTCCATTGAAAATTAACATATTTTATTACTGGGAATAGTTTACTTTCTAATGTAATTGATATGGTTCCTGGTTTACTGCCAGCTATACTTTCATTGTGTCATAGCTGAGGCTTATAATGACATTCTGCAGGGATACCACTGACACCACTACTTTGTCTTTCATAACAGCACTCGGGCATATTTTTAACACAGAATGAATCAGAGAATCACACCCATAACTCTGGGAATGCGATGCTGAAAATTGATTCTACTGAGTTCTACCCAGATGTCTCTTCACTCACAATCTAGAATAATTTATGGAAAGAAGCCATTCACATTATGAATTAATTATTTTTGTTGAATCATAAATTAAAAGAGCTATATATGATACGTAAACTCAGGAATAAATGATTTTTTTGAAAAAGAATTTAAAAACAAAATAAAGATAAAAATATTAATACAGAGATAAACTATGCAATTATTTGGAGCAGTACGGAGAAGTAGGACATGAGGTTATATATCAAAATATTTGAAGATAGGGGAGAAGTCACATCAAGAAAGATCCTGGCATCAATCAACTTTAACTATGACTGCAATTAATATGAATTAATTGAGTGTTCACTTAGGCAGCAGAGGAATTAAAAAAAAACACACACACAATTCAATGTAGCAGACGTACGCAAGGCATGAATTTCCAGTGTATGTAAAGTGTTCTTAATCTTTGTACAAATTGAGAATGTTAAAATAGGAATTTATTATGAAGAACAAATTTTGAGTGTAATACTTAGATAGTGGCATGGCTGGAGGAAAATTTAAAGTCATTTCATTTATTCCTTCAAGAAATACTCACTATTCATCTGTTAGCTACCAAGAACTTGATTACAAGTGGATACAGTGGGTAACAGAACAAGCATAATATCTATGTTATGTGTTCTTTTTGATCTTCAATAGCTTCAGTTTTAGTGGAAATGGGAAATAGATAATTAAAAAATAAATACACATAATGTATAAAATTTTGGAGAGTGATAAGTGCTATAAAAAGAGGCAGATAAGGATCAGAGGTTTGTAATAAGTTAAGAGGAAAGGAATATGAGGAGGGAGACATTACAATGATGTCTTCATTAAATAGGATGATCAGGTAAGTTCTTATTAAGAAAGTGCCTGTTGTGGGGTGGGGGATGGGAGAGGGATAGCATTAGGAGATATACCTAATGTTAAATGACGAGTTAATGGGTGCAGCATACCAACATGGCACGTGTATACATATGTAACAAACCTGCATGATGTGCACATGTACCCTAGAACTTAAAGTATAATAAAAAATAAATAAATAAAATAAAATAATGAAAAAAAAGAAGTATTTATACAGAACTTCACCCGACAAAGCAGCATAGACATTTACTTTCAAGTGTATATAGAATATTTACAAAGATCATATTGTGGGCTACAAAACGTATCTCAATAAATTTAAAAAGAAAAAAAAAGAAAGTGATGTTTGAGCAAATACTGAGATGGTCATATGCATGTCTGGGTAAAGAGTAGTCATACAGAGGAAATAGTTAAGACAAAGTCTCTAAGGCAGATGCAAGCTTGGTATGTTCCAAGAGTATCAAGGAAGCCTAAGTTTGTATACTGAGATAGTGTGGTATGGGTGGTAAGAGATGAGGTCAGAAAGGTAATTGAGTTCTTGTTAGCTAGGGCCTTGTAGCAACATAACTCTAAGTTAAGTGCATAGCCACTTTAGGATTTGGAGCAAGAGTGGCATATTATGATTTACATTTAAAAAGGTAATTTGACTTACTATAAAAGTAGAATGCAATAGATAGGGGATATAATAGAAAAACGAAAATAATACTGAAGGTTATGTTGCAGTGATCCACATAGGAAATTTGGTGGTGACAATCAAAGTACTGAAAATGGTCATTTCCTAATTACAGAGTATTTTGAAGGCTTAACAAACAGGTTTAACTGAAACTGGGTGTGTAGTGTGAGAGAAAGTGGAGTCAGGACTTGACATTGGTCAACGTAAGCAACTGAAAGATTGTCATTGCCCGAAATAAGTCAGTTCATAGGCGGAGAACTTTGGCAGAGAAAAGCAGGCCTGCTAACTAAGGCACTTTGATTTTGAGATATCCAGTAGGCATGCGCATAGAGGACTGAGTATGTGGTTACATACTAAGCCTGGATTTGGTGAGCAAGACCTGAACTGATGACATAAATGTAAATGTTATTAGCATATAGTTAGGAGTTAACACTAGGAATTGGAATCACTGAAAAAGAGAGTATATATGTAAAAGATAAAAGGTCAAAATCCACTGAAATGTTTGTACATCAAAATTGCCACCTCATACATTTCTTATTTAGAGGTGATAAAGAAAGCCACGTATATATGGATGGAGAAATAGTATCTGATTTTACTGGTAAACACATAATATTAAATAAACAATGTCACCATTCAAGATATGAAGCATTTTATAATGTTTATAAGTAGTTTCAAAGGGCTTCAATTTGTAATTCCATGATTCAGTAATTATGTTGAACAGGATAGGTGAAAACATATCAAGAGCAAAGAGATCATTTTAGCAGGAGGTTCAAAGAGATTACATTGGAATAGAACTCTAACTTAAATTTAAGTTAAAAACAACGTTGTAGAAAGTGAGGGTTCCTAAATACTGGTTAGAATAATTTAAAATGAAATTTAATCTTTGTATTACAGTAAAATAATAGCTGTAAGGATAGTGAATGTTAAAATGTAATATTAAGTAGAAGAATTAATTCTCATTTTCATACTCAATTCACAATAAAAGCAATAGAAATGCCAACAGAAACGTGCTAATGAAATAGAATGGGAATATTCAATCAACACAAAATAAGTCTCCACATTGCATCATATAGGTTTTAAATTTAAACAAAACTTACCTAAGTTAAACATTCAATAGGTTTTTTTTGTGAACAGAGAAGGTTGGGGAAACAGCTGTATGGAACTTAGCATTCTGTATTTGACTGGAGTTGAGTATCTGTACTAAGTGAAACTTTAGCACTGCAGCTGGCATTGTCACTGGCTGAAGAACTGTACTTTTTTTTCCCAAGTATCTGCATTCTTAGAAATTTGTCTCTGTGTTTTTGTTTTTACCATTTAGGTAATATATAAGGAAATTTATACCACTGTACATCAGGATAAATGAGTTTGTCATTATCAAAGTAGGTCCACAATATAAAAAAGAATTAAGGTCGAAAATATTCTGGTCCTTTTCCACTTCCTTGTAATGTAAAATAAGGGTTTTATTTTTTAAATACTACATTTGATCAGTTGAAGATTTTAAATGTGCCTGTAACCTCAAATTGTTAGATAAGTCTAGAGCACCTTACTCTACTTCCCAAACTATTAATGTAGAAATAACTGGGATTTATATCTCTGAAAACATGGGTTTCTCTCCTCATAAGAATGCTGTCGTATCCTATCAGTGATTATGAAGAAATATTTGCTATAAGTCACAAGAACTATTATAGTATTACACATGGTAGGAAACCAGGTGCAGAATAAACATCAACCACCGCTGTCTAGTAATATAAAATAGAAGTACAATTAGCTATTACAAGAAAGCTTTTAGGGAAACTTTCCAAATGGTAACCCAGTGCTTTGAATAACTTAATTAACTTCCTATGGGATCAAATCAATCACTGTTAAGTACCTGTCATATATAAATATTGCCCACAGTAAGGCTCAATAAATGTTTTGTATTAATGCTAAAATTATTTATGCCTCTGTATTACAATATCTAGAGAAATGAAACGTATTTGCTATATTAACAAAGAACTTTTGTAATTGACCTAGCAACTGCTGTGATATTTAAGAAACTAATACTGAAAGTGAACAATAGGGGAAATGTATTGAATGGTTTATTAGGGGTTAGGGACATAAAGACATTTCTCTGGGATATTGTTGTCATCTCTACAAATCAGTATGAAGTGAAAAGTTTTGTTACATTCCATATATGCCTATATAATCATCTTATGACAGCTTGAAACTCAGCCCCAGCAACCATAGAAGGCAGTTGTTTCGAGTCATTCATGACTACATTCATGCATTTATTCATTCATTCAACAAGAATTGGATTCCTATGATGTCCACAAATTACATATCCAGATAGATGTTATCATCCTGTTTTTCAAGATAAGGTGTGCCAATTTAGTTCTCCAAACTAAAATGGCTGAATGCATCAAAATAATAATTCAAGCTTTGGCTGCTGGACTCCAAGCTCCGTACTCTTAAACATTGCATTGTACCGGGGATAATTATAGTAAACAGTGGTTTTGTAATCTAGGAGTACATCAGGCCTGCTGTAACAGCTGATTTATTCTATTACTGAGATGGTACATAGCTACAGTCTACTTCGAGAACAGTGGAATCCAAACTTAGGAATTTAGAGAGAGAGTCACCGTGGCATTGATTCATTCACCATAGTTTAGAACTGTTTTCTGTGCTGTACTTAAAACAGCATAATGATATAACATGGGAAATGTTGGCAAAGTTAATAAGAAACATAATTGCTATTTCTAAGGTCATGTGGAAGAAGGTGGGCATTTTATGTTCACACACAGAAGTCTGGGGCTCTCTGGACAAGCGTATATGTTTGTTGGCTGTATATGTCAAGCACCCCATTTTTTTCAGTTCATGTGTTTTCACTTTTTCATCCCAATTATATTTTACATAGAGCAACACTTTAAGCAATATTTACTACTCATACTTTTCAGCACCTAAAATACACTTGTGTTTTATGTCTATTTCAATTAATATACAGAACGCATCTAGGCATCTCCATCCCCGTTTTAATAAAAAGAACAAAGAAAGTTTATTTAAATTACTCCCAGTGGCCAGCCGCACTGGCTGATGCCTATAGTCTCAGCACTTTTGGAGGCAGAGGCAGGTGAAACTCATGAAGTCAGGAGTTCAAGACCAGCCTGGCACACATGGCCAACAGGATGAAATCTGTCTCTACTAAAAATACAAAAAAAGTAACTGAGCGTGGTGGCGGGCACCTGTAATTGCAGCTACTTGGGATGCTGAGGCAGGAGAATCGCTTGAACCCCGGAGGTGGAGGTTGCAATGAGCTGAGATGGTGCCACTACACTCCAGCCTGGCTGACAGAGCAAGACTCTGTCTCAAAAATAATAATAATAAAATAAAATTAAAAATTACTCAGAGCCCTGTTGGTGCTAAGTAGTGGAGTCATAATCAAACCTTTATTTATGTGGCTCAAAAGCCGATGCCTTCTTTTATTCAAGGTATTGAATTCTGCTTTCCATAATCTGATATGAATCTCTGAGAAAGAGTATAAGCTGCATCAGAATGGAGTTTAGTTTAGAATATTATTCCTCACTGGAATTTGATATCAGTAAGTTTTCTGGTAATACATTTTAAAAAATATTTTCTTGCATGTAAACAATTTCTGTGAGCCATTTAGATTAGATGACAACAGAATCCCTTGATATTTACAATTTTAAATGTCTTAGAATATTTGTTTGTGAAAGTGCAGCCCTAATCCCAAACAATATACACAATTAATGCATTCCATGATGAAATTTTCTTATAAATTGCCTTTATCAGATTCTATATAATAGATAAGTTGGAAGTTTGTTAAACCTATATTTCCCCCTGTGTTTTTATGCTTTTATGGTAAAGACAATTCTATTACCATAATACATATTATTCATAGGAAAAGCAGAACTGACAAATGTACTTCGATAACTGAAACAAACTGGAAAATAGAAAAAGGGAATTAGATTGTTCTATTACACTGATATAACTTTTCCACATTATCTTTATTTAGCTAAGGCAATATTTTCCAAGAATGTTTAGTCTTTGGCGACTTCCTCACATTATATCACATCCTGGAAGACAGGGATGGAATGAAGGCAAGAAACAGCAAAGCAGCTTTATACATTTCTAATAATAATAATAATTTGTTTGCATGCTAAACATTCCACTGAGCTTCTGATAGGCCATCAGCTATTTATTAGTTGGAATCAAACAGAACACAGAGTACAAGATTCTGAATAGAACATGACTCTTTTATTCACTAGATATAAGCACTTCAAATAACTGTCAAGATATTTAAATTGTCTAAAACAAAGTTTTCCTCATGAGTAAAATGGAGATACTAAAACCTGTGTCATAGTGTTGCTATATTCAATTTGCATTTTAAAAAGTGCTTGAGAGACCCATAGTAAGCCTTCAACAAATGTTAGCATAGTATTATAATAGTGGAAATTAAAGAAGCAACAGTCCAAACTTAGTTTTGAACCAATTGAATAATAGGCACAGTTGCAAAATGGTGAGAAACATACTCGTTTTTTTGTTCCTAGTGAGGCTGGGTTTAGTGAACATAGCTCGAACTTGAGATGACTGCCACCTTCACCCTGGATATTACAACCCACTTGTGAGGAGTGTGAGTTTTTACACAGGTAATCTGAGTCCACCAAAGTAGACTACGGACAAAGAGAGCAAACCAATCACATAACATCTAACACTACCTCTATTCCTATGGCAAGGCGGGAATAGCACATGTTCAACATTTTTCATATTAATAAATATCCCTGCTTTGCATAGGGAGGATCCAGTGGTATGCAAAAGAAAAGAAACTGATTGCCAGTATTTTAAGGAAGGAAGTTCTTCATTTCTAGAATGGCTAAAAGGAAGAAAGATGTAGTCTAGTGAGGGCCATGGCTGAAGTCTCTGAAGCCACACTGCCTGAGTTCAACCACAGCTCTACCAAATATTGTTGAGTAACATTCAGTTGGTCCCAAATTCAATTCACATAAGGATCGAAGTAGTACACGTTTGTATGACACTCAGAAGAGAGCACAGCAGGGAACATGTTTTCCCCTACAGCTGATTTCTTTTATTCCCTATCTCAGTGAGGTAGAGTTTGCATACAGTTTTAGAATGCAAATATGAATAACAGAACCATTTCTTTCACAGGGTTTGGGGGAAGGTAAATACTGGTTACCTTCACAAATTCAGTGAATAGGAGAAAATTAAAAGAAAGAAGCTTGTTAATGAAGTCAAAAGTTTTACTACTCACATTTGAACTTAAGAATTCTGAATGCTGTATTATACAATGGGTAACTTTAGAAGTTAATCTGTGTTAAAAACAAAATAAACACTTCGGTGTGGAACTGTCAAGCTTGAGTTTAAACTGGTTTTACAGAGAAAACAGAGATATATCTGCAGCCATCTGATGATCTAATGATGCACATCAGTTTGCTTGAAAATCAGATAGGTTACTTGGAGAGAATGCATTCTAAGCAAATCAGGGAAGCAAATAAAAATAAATATAAGTAAATAGCTTGATGCATAGGAGAATAGACAGTGTGATTTTTGAGGACAGTGGTTCTCTTTAACTTGTATTAATCTATACAAGCTTAGGATTCAAGCTTTAATCAACTTTTGTTTGTGACCCAGGGAAAAAAGGGGGGCTATCAGTTATTATTATTAAATTTTCAGTAAAACTTTTTTTAGGACATGCGAGTGCAGGTAATACTGCTATGATGACACTCTAGAGATGATAACTCAAGAAGGGGTATCCATCTTGCCCTGGTATCCTTAGAATACAAAGCAGCTTTGGGCCTTCAATGGCTCCCACCAAACTTTGATACTGCTAATTACAATGGAAACCAATGCTCACAGAGGGGCAGCAATATTCAGTAAAGGAGTCAATCATACCTAGGAAACTCAGTGGGGAAACTATCTTCTAACATAAATTCCTAATCCAACCGTCAGAAGCCAAGCATTAAAGTGTATCAATCATGGATCTGACACAACATGCTAATTTTTGTTTTGCACTCAGTTGCCAAACAAAACACACAATGTGTTCAGTTTTTGGTTGTTTAGGGCAAGATTGGGAAAGCTGTCAAAGAAATAAGGTACAGAAATCTCAAATGGAAATCTGTACCTACATCAAAAAATTAGTGACAAAGGTGAATTAATCATCAATCTGTCTGGCAAACTTAGTTAAACCACCTACAGAACAGTATTTCATGGCATCACTGTATGTCACAACAAACTTTCAGATATGACTCAAAATAATTTTTAGGGATTCACACTCCTGTCCTTCAAAGAAGTCTCTGGATGTCCTTGGTTCTTAGGCTATGAAGTAAAGAAAGTCAGGGTGGAAGCATAGATAGTATCAAATATGATTATAAGAATGCCTGTATTTAAAGGTATTCAGTCTGGCTCTCTCCTTGGTTAATATTGATCTCATAATTGCACATTTTTTTCTTTCCTGTGTATATTATACGTTTTAGTGGTCATTCATATGAATTTGATTGGCAATTCTTTTCAAGTATTAATACATGCTCATAAAAAGAACATTTTGGAAATATTTAAATATTTACAAATAATAAAATTGGGAGTATTTGACAAATTGTGCAGCATAACAAACACCAAAGTACTAAATTTTAAATTCTGCTTTTCTAGTTTCTGAAGCATTTTGTAGTCTGTTGTGTTTCAGCAGCTTATGGGCATTTCTCTAAGATTTTCAAAAATAAATCAAAGGCAAGATGAGCTGTACTCATTACTTATACATAATAAATAACATTTTCTTGATATGAAAGTTCTTCATGGCTTAACTATAATTTATAAACCTTAAAGTCAAATAAACTTCCACATCTTGTCAGGTTCCTTTGCCTCGTCATGTTTTCTCCTTTAAAAATATTTTGCTATTAAAAATGCTAATCAATTAAATGTATGATGTATAAGTGTGCATGTGTGTATATATGGAGTTCATTCACAGCAGACTATAATTAGTGATTATTGACATATTATTTGTATCTATCTTGAGTCAAAAATGATATGAATTGTGATTTTCTATGGGAAATAAAACGAGATATTTTAATACACAAAAGCACTAAGAACTTGTTTAATGCAAGATACTCAATGGCTTAAAATGTAATTTTAAGTTTGGTAGTTGTTTCATATAGTGTGACAAAATTAAAACAGTGGCATGGTGAATGCCACATGAATTCTTTCATAAGAAATAAAATCTTTTTTTTTTTTTTTTTTGAGATGGAGTTTTGCGCTGTCGCCCAGACTGGAGTGCAGCGGTGCGATCTCGACTCACTGCAAGCTCCTCCTCCCGGGTTCACGCCATTCTCCTGCCTCAGCCTCCTGATTAGCTGGGAATACAGGCTCCCGCCACCATGCCCGGCTAATTTTTTGTAGTTTTAGTAGAGACGGGGTTTCACCGTGTTAGTCAGGATGGTCTCGATCTCCTGACCTCGTGATCCGTCCGCCTTGGTCTCCCAAAGTGCTGGGATTACAGGCGTGAGCCACCGCGCCTGGCCTATAAAATTTTTAAATAAGTTGAATTGGAACAATCTAAATTTTTTGGTACACATACCTTACCTACGTCCAAGAGAAGCCTGAAGTCTACTCAGGGACCAATTCTTCCCTGTTTTTAAGGGGGTGGCGAAAATTTCTAGCTTATTCAAAACTTTATGTCCCTTAGGCATTACCTCTCCTGCTGATTTTTGTTTCTATTTTCTATGCACTGTGAGCCTGAATAATGGCGCTCCCCTATTACATTTTCCTCTCATCTTTGTGGAAAACCTTGTGTGTCTTTTGGCCACACTGATTGCCCTCTAGTAGCTGAGTCTGATTTCTGGGTTCTTGGTGACTTCAGAATGGTTCTTTCATTGAATAAGTTATTTTTGAGCAACCATGATGTGCAGTTAGAAAAAACAAAAAAGATAATGTATAAGATGGAATGCTTTTTTCCTTTTTTCTCTTAAAAATTTTATTTGCTTCAATTAGTGATGATTATGACACATAATTCTGAGGCTGTACATGACCCACATTAACTCACCAAGACATTCCCCTCAGCTTAGCTAAATTTTAAAAAGTATCTTCCTAACTCTAGGCCCCTGACCTCCCTTTTCTTAGAAAACTTGTAAGTTCAAATTCTTTCTCTGACCCTTAAATTACATACAAATCTTCTCTCAGCCTCTTGCTAGTTTTACAACCAAGGAATGTCTATTGCATGGGCCTAGGGGACATTTCTTTGGAATATAATAGTCTAAAAATGTAGTCTGCTTACTCCCAGTCTCTGTGGAAGGTAGGGGTCTAATTTCAACAAGTGCCAATTAGCAAACACAGATGGATGACCTAATCACAGGACAAATCTCTCTACCAAAGTCTTCTAGAACTTTCCACTAGCTCACTCCAGTGCTTAAAAAAATTTGCTTTTTGTTTCATGGGAGTTAAGTTCAATCTCTCTCCTATCACCTTGCTAATTTACCATGGTGCTACTTTTCTTTAACAGTTCTGGTATGCAACTCATAGGATTTGACTCATCATTGGGTCTCAGAGAGCCTGGTACCCATAGCCCCAGGCTTATACCTTTAACTTTTGCCTTCCCAGATGATGGATTGATCAGGGAACTTATTTCTGAGCTATTGCTCTAAACTTCTGACCACTACAGGAATTGACTTTAATGCCACAATGACATGGTTTGGCTCTGTGTCCCCACCCAAATCTCATCTTGAGTTCTACTCCCAGAATTCCCTCATGTTGTGGGAGGGACCCGGTGGGAGATAATTGAATCACTGGGGCAGTTTCTCCCATACTGTTCTCCTGTTAGTGAATAAGTCTCACGAGATCTGATGGTTTCATAAGGGGAAATTCGTTTCTCTTGGGTCCATTCTCTCTCTTGCCTGTTGCAATGTAAGATGTGCCTTTTGTCTTCTGCCATGATTTTGAGGCCTCCCCAGCCATGTGGAAATGTAAGCCCAATAAACCCTTTTTCCTGTATAAATTACTCAGTCTTGGGTATGTCTTTATTAGCAGTGTGAAAATGGACTAATACACATGCTCTTATTGTAATGAGCTTTTGTTTGATCGAACTTTGTTTATTTAACATTTAGAGTTCTTTTTGATTGTGGAGACCACATATGTGATGACCTCGTGTGCTAAATTATAGACACACATAAGTGCTTACATAAATTAAATATTCCTAAACCTGTCAAAAATTTTTAAAGTTGAATTTTTAATACTTACAATGTATTTTTTAAAAATATTATAAAATCTTGCCCAAATGTTTTAAAATTTTAATTTCACATGAATCAGATAAATCTTTGTCAAATAAGACTAGTTTAATATTTTTGATTTAATAAAAACTGCTTTGTTTTCTGAGTTCTCTCCATTAAATATGATACAAGCATACATTTTTATTTTACTTGGGTTTAGTAGTAAATATTATTTCTACCAGATGTTTAAAATTATTAACAAATTTGATTTTAATCAAATTTTGTCATTATTCTGACAAATTCGTATTTCAACCCTAATTATGTTTTATATGTCTGCTTAAAAATACTTTTCAAAAGTTTTTTGATAACTCACAACATGAAACTTATGCCCAATTAAGTAATAGATATCCATTAAACATTTAGATCATTACTAAATAAACTAGTGAAACATTCGTTAGCAAGTATATGTGTAAGTTTATATACTTTTGACTGATGTTTACATGATACAGAGAAGCTAAAAATATTGGGTTTGTTAATAAACATGTTATTTTGGCCACATTTGCAGAAGGACAGTCCCAAAATAACCTTGGGTGACCCAGCCCTTCCTCTTCCCACATACGGTCTCAGGATAACTGTAGAATATGCTAAAAAGGTAGTGCCCTGATATAAGGAGGAACTATTCAGAGCAGCTCAGGTTTTGGCCTTGTCCCTCCTAGAACAGGATGCCCTACAGTGCTTTAGCTCAGGGAAACAAGTGTTTCCCAGAGTATAAAATCCCAGCGTGGAATGCTTTGGGGATCCCTCAGCTGAGGTGTGAAGTGAGGCATGCACAAACGAGACTCCATCTGCACTGGGCAGCTTTCCTGAGCAGTGGAGACCAGCTGGTCATGGAGCCTGGGCTTCTGTTGATTCTTGCACTCTATCTGTGAGTGACAAATTTGATTTGCAGAACCTGTTGTGAGAGTGTTCTGTCTCATTGTATTCATACTCTGGCATTTGAGTTTGTGCAAAATGTTTTTTGCTCAGCCTCCTGAGTAGCTGGGACAACTGGCGCCCACCAGCATGCTTGACTAATTTTTGTATTTTTAGTAGAGACGGGGTTTCACCATATTTGTCAAGCTGGTCTCGAACTCCTGACCTCAGGTGATCTACCTCCCTCTGCCTCCCAAAGTGCTGGGATTATAGGCGTGAACCACTGCACCTGCCCTTTGTGCAAAATCTTTTAAGGGGGGTTTGGGCAAGACTTCCTGCCAGATCAAGAAAACTTGGCAGAAATTGGTGAGATGTTTAGAGTCTTCTCCTGGGATTGGTAACCAGTGGACCATATTCCCCATTCAAGGGCTAATGCCAGTGTACTGCGTATCTGCTAAAGAAGTTTGAAAAATAATACCATAAGAAATTATAGACCTATAAATATTACAAGATGGTATATTCATAAACTGAATTAATTTGCTGTAGAGTGTTGATATAGAACAGTTCACAGTGGTCTATTTCCTAGTTTTGTCTGTAAAGTATGTTAGGACTAGTTAAAATTATAATCAATATATGTGAATGAAACGACTAGAAATAATAAGTACAAGGGAAAACAACCTTGTATTCAGAGGATGCAAGAAGTTTATGATTTGCTTTGTTAAAGAAAATTATGAAAGTTTGTAGAATATGTTTTTGTTGCCAAAAAAAGTAATTTTTTTCTAAAGGAAAATGACTAGTTCCAGAATGAGAAGAGAATATGCATGAAACCTAAATAGATATGGATAGCCATAGAAGGTTTCTCAGGAATGAAATTCTATTTTGTACCTCCAAGTCTAGTTAAGATTGGATGGGTTTATTTGTTATTATTCTTATGACTTTTAGTATCAATAGTGTAATGATGCAAAACTAGAACTTGTTTTTCTCTCTGTTAAAATGACATTTTCTTGGATTATCGGTCTGCTCTTAACAAGAGATTCCAAAAGTTTTGTTTTCTTTATCTTCTGAGTAATCTGCTTAGAAATCACAAATTCTGTGTCATGTTAGGATAATTTCCTGTGTTTTAAGTTGATTTTATCAAGGGTTTGATTACTTTAGTGAACCCAGTCTTTTGCTTTAATAAAGAGCTAAAGTTTGTTATTGTTGTTTTATTGTTTTTTCAATCATGTTACCTCCTTGTTTGTTTTGAAATCCCTTACTGCCACTTTGTTTAAGTAGATAGCCAAGTATTTCTTTTTTGAGACAGAGTTTTGCTCTTGTCGCCCAGGTTGGAGTGCAGCAGCGCAGTCTCTGCTCACTGAAACCTCCACCTCCCGGGTTTAAGAGATTCTTCTTCCTCAGCCTCCTGAGTAGCTGGATTACAGGAGCGCACCGCCATGCCCAGCTAATTTTTTTTGTATTTTTAGTAGAGACGGGGTTTCAACATGTTGGCCAGGCTTGTCTCAAACTCCTGACCTCAGGTGATCCACCTGCCTCGGCCTCCCAAAGTGCAGGGATTACAGGCGTGAACCACCTCAGCTGGCTGCCAAGTATTTCTTAATGACAAATAATCCTTTTAGTCAAGAGTCCAAAACTTCTCACATTTTTGGATATTTCAGCTACCCAAAATCAAATCTTAAATGAAACCTTTTTTTTTTTAAATCTCAAAATGACTTTAGAATTTCCCAAAAGTCCCCTAGAAAGTCAGAAAGGATTTTTTTCACCTAGTAAAATGAGAGGTGTCAAGAATAATTAGGTTTATTTGATATGTTGAGTTGCTTTTAAAGTACTGTCTAATAATAAGAAACCTTAACCTTCCTTAGGTTATATTTAACCTTTTCTAGGTAAAATGTTATTAATATAAATGTTTAAGAAACTTTAAAGTTCCCAGAAATTAGTCAATGCCTCACTGTCTGTAATATATATTGGTGCTGCTTTGCTGATACTCAGTAACAAGAGTATAATGTTATCTGTCATAATTTCTAAGTTGTTCAGTGAAAAAGGTTGAACACCCCAATCTCCCAGTCTCGACGGGAGGGTAGGAGCCTCATGTTAATAAGCACAGGTTAGGAAACACAGAGACATAATTACCTTGACCACCTTCCTGTGACATGTCCTCCAGAGCCTTTTCAACAGCTCACTCTGGTGCTAAAAAACCTTTCAGCTTTTGTTTCAGTAGAATTCAATCTCTGTCCCATAATCCAATACTCTTGAATAAAGTGTTCTTTGCCTATTCAATTTGTCAGTAGAATTTTTCATGAGCGTGTCCTTTATGTGAGTATAGTAGAGTTAACATATATAATTTTTCCCTGATAGCCTGTCCCTTTGTACTGTGCATCAAAAACATCTAATTTAATCCACAATCAACTTCAAGAGTTGTTTTACTCTATTTATTTAGCTGAGGAAACTGAGATTTAGATAAGCTAAGTAAATCATCATACAAAGTCATTCAGATAAGCTTCAGGACCCCTCTGTTATCCCACTTCTTTTAAGGTGCTGTGCCTATTTTTGTGTTTATGGTCCTGTATTTTTTTTTCTTAAAAGAAGATCCTCCCAGATTGTTTGAAATGTTACTGAACCTGGACATGCCTTCACACAGCTAATGAGTGTTAAATTTAGTGTAGTGTTCCAACAGTCTCCATGGTTGGCTGGTTACAGGACCTCCTATGGATACAAAAATCTGTGGATGCTTACATCCCTGATATAAAATGGCATCGTATTTACATATAACCTGTGCACATCCTCCCATATACTATATTTTAAATCCTAATTACTTATAATACCTAATACAATGGAGATGTTTTGTAAAAAGTTGTTATACTGTATTATTTAGAGAATAATTAAAAGAAAAAGTCAGTATATATTCAATACAGGCACAAATTTTTTTAAATATTTTTGATCCATAATTGATTGAATCCAGTAATGTAGAATGGTTACAAAAGGTCCAACTGTATTTAAATCTGGAAGGTCTGCATTCAATGCCTGTGTGCTCCTTTCATTACAGTTACTTTCCAGATTTGTTCTTTGGTGCCCTAGTGTTCGTAGAATTAGCTTGAAGGCAGATGTGCAGAACTGTTGGCAGCAGGAGAAGCTGAGGTCTGGGACCTCCACTCCAACTGCAACCAGACCAGCCTTGCTTCTATATCTCCATTTATCTATTTCTATGTTATTTGAACCAAATTTGTTTGGAAGAAATGATTCTGTGGGCAAAATGGTTTAAAAGTGGCATAATGCAGTGCTGCTTAGTCTCCTTTTCACTGAATACATGTTGATGTAGGGTAGCAAGTGTGGAAAGTTAATTATACAAAATGTATTAAATATATTTTGGACTGAAAAGGCCTAAGAAATTATCTAGTTCAGCCTTTCTTTTTAAAGATTGGAGAAATGACTCACAGAAGCGAAAGTAATTTACCTAAGGTCAAAGACTAGTTCAGCATAGAATTGCAATTATTAAACTCTCATAATACATTATGTCACCAGTTTATTTGAGAGAGAGTTCTAAAAACCATCTAATGAAACTTGTTATTATATTGACTGCAGTGATGCTTTGGGGGTCATTGTTCACTATATATCACTTTATTCTTTTTATGAGTGAGCACAAAAGTTATTTAACTTAGTTTTAAAAATCAAAACAATTGGCCGGGCGTGGTGGCTCACGCCTGTAATCCCAGCACTTTGGGAGGCTGAGGCGGGCGGATCACGAGGTCAGGAGATCGAGACCATCCTGGCTAACATGGTGAAACCTCGTCTCTACTAAAAAAAATACAAAAAATTAGCCGAGTGTGGTGGCGGGCGCCTGTAGTCCCAGCTATTCGGGAGGCTGAGGTGGGAGAATGGCGTGAACTCAGCAGGTGGAGCTTGCAGTGATCAGAGATCATACCACTGCACTCCAGGCGGGGCAACAGAGCGAGATTCCATCTCAAAAAAAAAAAAAAATCAAAACAATTTGTATTAAGTAGTTTTTGGGGTCGTTTTGCTCTCCTTATCATGTTAAATTGTATGATTGAATTTCTCTTTGGTTGGCCAAACAGACTGACGAGCTTAAAACTATCACTGACAAGGTTGAGTTGCAGCCATATAAAGGATACAGAATTTCACAGTTTGTATTATCTCTACCAAGTTTATTCCTGCTTTTTTGCTGTTTAGTATAATTTTTCCAAGACTTTAAGTTTTTTCATTATACATTGGTAGATTGATCTATCTTTTGGTAAACTGTCACAATTCATTTGGACTGAATCTAGACAGTAAGACAGGGGCCATTTTCCGTGAAGATTTTTGTGTAACTGTATTCCCATCTCATTTATACAGAAGTATTTTCCTAAATCTGAGCACAGAGTTTTATACGTGATAGACATCCAATAAATATTGATTGAATGGATAAATGTACAATGGGAAGTTATAACAAATTTCAATATGTAACTTAAAAACTTAGAATGCCAAAATTCTAAAGGCAGTGACAAAGTGAAGACAAGAGTTGAGTCTCCAGATCCTCAGATGAAGTTCATGTATTCAGCTCTTACAGTGTTTTGGATTTTGTGCTATACACTTTGTAGAAACTATCACATTTCATAATCTTATGCAGTCAGGCTATAAGGCTTATTTTAAAGATGAGGAAACCAAGGTGCAGATGGGTTAAGACCAAGTTTACATGATTAGCAAATTGCAGAGTCAGTGTTTGGACCTTTATATATTTTTAGGAGCAACAATTTTGTGCTCTTTTAACATTTTAAAAATAACATTTTTTTCTTTACTTTTAAAAATTACTTTTTTGTTTACTTTTGTAATCATTTTTATTAACTTGCAAGTTATTATGTGTCCCAGTAAAGTTATGGAGAAAGTAATATGATGGTTTAAAGCAAGGAGATACTACTTACATTTAATGAATTATGTGGTGGTTTTTAAGTTACATATTGAAATTTGAATGGGATTTGAACTTTAAGAAAGAAGAAAAAGATAAACATAAATCAGACATATTAGCATCCTCTGAGAAGAGGCCCATAGTCATAGAATGTGTCCATAATCAAGTAAACCTGATTAAGGATTCTTTCCATATCCCTCTCAAGATAAATGTTGAATTGGGTTAAATAGATTTTCTTGACAATTATGGAGATTGACAGTCTATAATACATAAAATATTAATTCAGAAGAAAAGATCTAGAGTATGAATGTTGGATTTGAAACCCATAACCACTGTTTATTCTCTTGAACAAGTTACTTTCTCTCCATGTAATCTATTTCAGTTTCCTTTCTAAAAAGATAAAGCTACAGTTATTGTACCACAATTGCTGCATAAACTGTGTAATCCTTCATATATCAAAAAGGACAATGCCTTGCAGGTGTTACCTTTCATTTACTCTGTTATCAGTTACTTTGAAAAACATATTTTCTGATATTTTATGAACAACTATTTTGTATTTATAAAGACATTTTCTTCTAATGATCCTCCGGGTGGAAATCATAAGCTATTACCTTAAATTTCCCTAGATCTAGTGATTAAAGATGTCTGATCAGTTTGAAATTTATTTCTCTCTTCATTTCAGTTTTGAGTCTTCTAGTCAGGTAGTCATGAGTAGTAGGTACTGTTCAATTCTGCCTAACATGTTATTTATTATCAATGAAGTGAAGTATTCTTTGCAGTAGTTTTTATCTTTATTCAATCCTCTTTTTGGTCTTTGCTTGAGGATACAATAAAAGATCAAGAAGCCATCATAAGAATGTATTTCCAGTTCCCTAGGGAATTTTTACAACTCAAAGACCTAAGTATTATCAAAGCTTTTGAGATGGAAGCCCGGAACTGGTGTATATTAATGACTGTGCTTTTGAACTGCTTTTGCAATAAAATATGCAAAGGCCAAGATAAACTTTCAGAGCCAGCATAGTCCTGATTATCTTTAAAAGAATACCAGAGTTACTCACTACAAGGAGAATATACATAAAAAGATTTTAATTGTCAATTATTGAAAATTGACATTTTAATAGACAAAAATATTAGCTGAAATATACGTATATATCCTCACACTATTATTAACCTCTAAATAACTAAGTCATTCAATTCAAAAATAATCTCCCAAATGCCTATGTAGTATGTAGAGTAAGTCAGCTCTTCTGCCAGGTTCAATGTTATAAGTCATCAAAGCAAATTATCCAGGCCTTCAAACTAATTATAATCTGCAGAAGAAAATAAAGGAAATTAACAAGTAAGGTGTCCTGAAGTAAGCATGAGGTCATTGGAGCACAAAGAAAGAAATGCCTATGAAATTGGAAACAAAGCAAATATTTTAGATCAGGGTAACTCTTGAACTGACACAGAATTTGCCAGTTGCTTTATATAAATGCAAAATTTACATAAATGCAAAATTTTACACAATGGATATTACCTCCATACAGCTGCACAAGTGATTGTCATATATGTCTTACTCAAAATCTAAAAGTCTTTACCTAGATATACATTTTCTTGTCCATCTAATGATTATTATGTAACATTCTCTTTTTTCTATAAAATGTCCAAACTAAGAGTGAATTTTTCTACTATTCCGTCAGAGGTTATTTCCCTTGTAGCAAGATTGTAATAATCCTAATACATGCTCTTAAATAGTATTAAAAAAAAAGGTAGAGACATGCCAGATGGAGAGTACAACCTGTGCCATGGCAAACAGCTGTGACATATAATGACGTTTTGTGAAACTTCAAGCAGTTTTGTTTGAGTGACTGTGTAAGAGTGAGTGGTGAAATCAGACAAGTAAGAACTTATATTAAGATTTCATAAAAGACCTTATTTGAAGATGAAGAAGTTTGAAATTTTCAGAAGTATTTCTGAAAATCTATTGAAGAATTTTAAGAAGTATAGGCACACTGACATTAATTTTTAAAATTAATATAATTATGAAAATTTCCAGTCAAAAGCTGAGAAAACAGTATAAAATTAACCACTATACATTTATAACCCAAATGCAACAATTATCAAATCATTTAAATATTTATAATACTTCTTTGCTGACATGTAATAACTAAACCATAATTAAATGTCCCCAATAATCTCAATACAATTAATTTCTATGGTTGTTGTTTTAATCCGAACCCATATAAGGTATTCCCATTATGTTTGGTTATTGTACAACGTAAGTCTCTTGGCGTGGAATAAAGTACCCTTCCTTGCTTTTAGTTTCTACTATTGATTGTTGCGAAGTCCAGACCAATTCTCTTTTAGATTTCTCATATTTTATAATTTTATTTATTGATTGATGTCATTTGTTCTTCTACCTTCTGTTTTGTGTTAGGTGACATTAACTCTAGAAGCTTGATTTAGTTCGTATCCAACTTGTCAAAAAATAATCCAGAATTAGTTTAGTAGAACATACAGCTGAATTTCTTTATATACAAGGTAAATTATCAGTTATATAATAGTAAGTGAACAAAAGCAAAGCAGAGTTTACAAAACAGCCTGTGGGACAATGAGCTGTGTTCTGTTGTGTTCTTGTGTTTGTTTACATTTCTTTTTCTAAGCCCTGATAAAAAACCACCAGGGCTTAGCAGCCTGCTCTAAAGTAGATCAACACAGTTATTAGGGAAAGCAATTTCAATAATCTGCAGTGTTTCAAAAAAAAATTGTGATTTCAACTATAAAAGCTACATGTTTTGTTTATCTCTGGGTAATGGGCACTGGTACCCATCTGTTACCATCTCTGCTAGGTAAGCCAGGATTGTGCCGTTTCCCTCATAGTAATCCCTCAGTCTTTCCTTTGGGTCAAACTCGGGTCCCAGAGGAGCCAAATTGACCATGGAGGCTGAAGTCTTTTTATGACATACCATCTGCTGGATGACAGATACAAGTTATCAAAGGAAATAAATGTTTAATCACCTGTATATCACAAAGCAGAGGAAGGCAAAAATTATTATTATTATTACACTTTAAGTTTTAGGGTACATGTGCACAATGTGCAGGTTAGTTACACATGTATACATGTGCCATGCACCCATTAATTCGTCATTTAGCATTAGGTATATCTAATGCTGCACCCATTAATTCGTCATTTAGCTTTAGGTATATCTCCTAATGCTATCCCTCCCCCCTCCCCCCACCCCACAACAGTCCCCAGAGTGTGATGTTCCCCTTCCTGTGTCCATGTGTTATTGTTCAATTCTCATCTATGAGTGAGAACGTGCGCTGTTTGGTTTTTTGTCCTTGTGATAGTTTACTGAGAATGATGATTTCCAATTTCATCCATGTCCCTACAAAGGACATGAACTCATCATTTTTTATGGCTGCATAGTATTCCATGGTGTATATGTGCCACCTTTTCTTAATCCAGTCTATCATTGTTGGACATTTGGGTTGGTTCCAAGTCTTTGCTATTGTGAATAGTGCCGCAATAAACATACGTGTGCATGTGTCTTTATAGCAGCATGATTTATAGTCCTTTGGGTCTATACCCAGTAATGGGATGGCTGGGTCAAATGGTATTTCTAGTTCTAGATCCCTGAGGAATCGCCACACTGACTTCCACAATGGTTGAACTAGTTTACAGTCCCACCAACAGTGTAAAAGTGTTCCTATTTCTCCAGATCCTCTCCAGCACCTGTTGTTTCCTGACTTTTTAATGATTGCCATTCTAACTGGTGTGAGATGGTATCTCATTGTGGTTTTGATTTGCATTTCTCTGATGGCCAGTGATGATAAGCATTTTTTCGTGTGTCTTTTGGCTGCATAAATGTCTTCTTTTGAGAAGTGTCTGTTCATATCCTTTACCCACTTTTTGATGGGGTTGTTTGTTTTTTTCTTGTAAATTTGTTTGAGTTCATTGTAGATTCTGGATATTAGCCCTTTGTCAGATGAGTAGGTTGTGAAAATTTTCTCCCATTTTGTAGGTTGCTGTTCACTCTGATGGTAGTTTATTTTGCTGTGCAGAAGGTCTTTGGTTTAATTAGATCCCGTTTGTCAATTTTGGCTTTTGTTGCCATTGCTTTTGGTGTTTTAGACATGAAGGAAGGCAAAAATTATTTGTACAATCACAAATATATTAGGCAACATTCAGAAACTTATTTTTATTTAGTTTTGTTTTGTTTTATTGGTGTACACTCACCTAAAAGAATTAATCCTATAGATTAGCTTGGCCAAATTTTGATAACCAACATTTTTTTTTCCTAATTGAATATTTGATTGTTCCACTTGTCCCGAAGTGGTTAACTTGTTTAGATTGTACAGACACATTTGTTGGATATGTAACATTCAGGCAGTTATCTTCAATAATGGAGCAATAATCAGAATAAGTTGTAGATGTTTTAGACTGGACTAGAAAGTCGTGTATAAATTAGTGAATCCAATTACTAAATCACCACACTAGGCTGTTTATAACTTATAAACAACTAAGAGACTTGTTTGAATTCTGAAAAAGGCAAATATATGAAGTGACAAATATGCCACATTTTGATAAAGAAGCATGCTAGACACAAAAATACATAGTCCTAAGGTACAAAATGAGGAGACATCAAGTGGAGATTGGTAAAAGTTGCTATCTGAATTTGTTAGTTTTATTGTGGAAAACAAATTAATCTCCTGGATGGAGCTAAACTAATGCTTTTATCTGGCTTTATTTAAAAAAATCCAACTCCACATTAGTTTTAAAACTCAACTTTAAAACCTTTAACACAGGTTCTCATTTGTTTAAGGCCATCTTACCTCACCCTAAGTTCTTTTAGTAAATCATCTGTATGAAAAATATAATAAAATATAAAGTTTCAAATTGTCTCTAGAATTTTTAATACAAAATATTCCACACTAATTTAACATGCCTAAACACAGAAAGAGAGTGGAAAAATAATATCAAATTTACAGTGGGTACAGGTATTGAGTAAGCTCGACTAATATTTTAAAATTACTTTTACTAATGTGATCAAAATTAAAAGGCAAGCTAATGATTTTCAACAGAGAACTATAATTTTAAACATAATAAGTTGACATTATAGAAGTAAAAATAAAAAAACTGAAAGTAAGCACTTAATGAATAGGTTTCATTATTCATCAGATATAATTGATAAGGAAATTAATGAACTGAAACAAAGGTAGAAGAAAATATGCGGAGTAACTAAATCTTAAAATATATAAGCAAAAATTAAAAAGAAATAATAAGAATTGTATAATCTTATTTAACATATATCTCTAGCAAATCATCTCTAAGCATTATATAGCCATTAAGAAAGAATGAAAAACAAAATTGAGCTAAGTACTAAGTGACTATATGCACACAAAGTCTGTTTCCAAAAACTGCTAAACTCACTTTTGTTGCTATTCTGGGTCACATAGCAAGTCTCAATATGTTTCAAAGGATTACAACATATAAAGTACGTATTCTTATCCACTAAAATCAATATAGAAATCAAATTTTTAAAAGATAACTAAAAACAAAATCTATATATGTTTGGAAATGAAGATATATGTGTCTAAAATCTCATTGGTAAAGAATTAAAATTAGAAAAATATTTTGAATGTATATTTAATAAAATATAACTTAGAACATGTATACTGCTCCAAAAGTTACCCTTAAAGTATGTGTGTGTGTGTGTCTGTGTGTGTGTGTGTGTGTGTAAGGAATATATGTATGGATATATAGGGATATGTGTATACAAATATATGTATCCCCTATAGAAAATAAAGTCTGAAAATTAGTAATAAAGTATTCATCTTCAAAAATTAGACAACTGAAAGCAAATTAAATGCAATGAAAGTAGAAATAAAGATATAATAATTACAATAGAATAAATTAATACAGCATAGGATACAAATATGTATTAGAAAATATCAGCAACTCAGTTGTGGTTCTCTTAACAGAGTAATAAAATTGATGAAGCCTGGTAAGACTGACTAAGGAAAAATTAGAGAAGACACAATTTCCAAATTCAGGAGTTAAAACAAGATATCATTATAGACTTCATAGACACTAAAAAGATAATATTGAAACTGACCTAATAGTCCCATATACGGCTTTTTTGATAAACATAGCAATTGACCTTTCTGGTCTTAAAGCTTGAAACTTACCTTTGTTTTATCTGAGTTCCTTCCTCAGGAAAGGACTCTCAGTTCCCTCAAAAAGTATCAAAGAACTGAAACTCACCAGACACCATAACCAGGCAAAGAGATGCCAAACCCCTCATTTGCTTTGATTGCTTCCTAACCAACCATCTGCGTCTTGTTGACCCACTCCTCTTCTTGCTTACTCCTCTGTAGTTCATGTTTTCCCACACGTAGTTCTATTTCTTCACTGCTATATAAACTCCTAATTGTAGTCTGTCAGGGAGATGAGTTTAGACTAATCTCCCATCTCCTCAGCTGTAGCACCTGATTAAAACCTTCTTCTCTGGCAATACTCATTGTTTCAGTGTTTGGCTTTTTGTGCAGTGAGCAGCAGTACCTAGACTGAACTCCCTGGCATTTTTGTAACAATATAAGAATATTATAAACTATTTTTTCCCACAAATTTTTAAAAATTTAGATAAAATTGAACATTTGCAGAAAAAAATACTATGAAACACAGTTGCAAACATTCTCCGGAAAATAAATCCCATCTACAATATATATTACATTCAACCAAATTGATAAAAATTGGTTTAATATTTTAAAATATCTGAAATTTAAAAAATATCATATTATCTTAATAAATTTCAAAACTATTATAACATTTAATACATGGTAAATATCTTTGCAAATTATAAGTAGAATAGAACTGTATCAATCTCATAGAGTATCTAGAAAAATGTATACAGCAAACATCACATTTAGTATAAAAAAAATAGAGGCATTCACTGAGATTGGAAATAAAATAAACCTTGCTTCCCTCCACATTTCTACTAGGCTGAAGGTCCCTACCAATGCAAAATAAAAAAAGAATAAAAATAAATAAAATATATAATGATTGTAGAGAAAAAATTGAGTTGATTTCATTGTGCATATTAAAAATACAAACTAATGTATAGGTAAACTTTAGAATTAAGTTTACTAAAGCTGCTTTTTTTTCAACTAGGATATTTGTGTTGTCATATACTAGTAACAAGCAGTAGAAAATAAACTGCAATAAAACAATATAATTTATAGGAACAATATAAATATGTAGGTATTCATTTGCCTAACAAAATATTTAGAAATTTTAGCACAAAAATCTATGAAGTATTATTGATAGTATTTTCTAATTTACATAAGCAGAAATATATACTGTGGCCTTGGAATAAAGGCTTTATATTGTAGGAAACTATATCTTAACTCACTACATATAAAGCACTAACAATAAAAAGTTTGACAAATTGGACTACCTGAAACTTAGGGACATCTATGTATCAGAACTAAAGGTAATCTACAGACTGCTATAAATATTTGCATTTAATTTATATAATAAAGGACTTCATCTAAAATATACAAGTGACAGGTAAAATCTATTCAAAATTTTCGAAACAAAAGAAAAAATTGAGCAACAAATTGAAAGTCATTTCCTAAGTGATATCCAAACTGCCCTGAAACATAAGAAATTCCATTTCAATTGATTAGGCATAAGATAAATGCAAATTGAAATCACAATTACTGCACAGCTATTAGAATGAACTCTACTAGCAGCTATGCAGAAAGGGTCTCCCTGATTGCCTCATCTCCAACGTGCCTCACGCATTCCCCCTGATTCTCTTTGACCTCAATGTGGCCCACCCACTCACCCAGGCAGATGAGCTCCAAATCTTCACCAATGTTCAGAGCTTTCTATTATTTCCTCTTGGTATTCTTCATGTTGTGGCTCCTCCTCACCCTCTCTCACAAGTTCCACTTCTCAAGATTTAACTGACTATTGGGTATTCTTTCAAGTTCAGGTGGGCAGTCTCTTGATAACTGAATCCTTCAGGGTCAGTGGGTGGACCCCAATATACAATAAGAGACATAAGATTAATGATAGCCATTAGCCCCATGCAAACAACTTGCAGGGCCAATACTGTGTTTCATTCAGCTATATAATGCAACTTAGCCTGGCGATTTCCAATGCTGAACCACAGAGTTCCAGCGGATAAGTGTAGTTTAGTACAGATGCTAGTCTCATAAACCTTACAGCAAAGCTTACCCTTATACCTTACATCCTCTTTATGTAAGAAACACCTGGTTATTTACCCGGACTGAATACAGGAATAAGAAAAGGGGAAGAACCCCCAAACTCTGAGAATGGTCTCTGCACAGAAACGCTTCTGGTCAGGGGGTAAACCGATACCCTGGTTGTATCTGCCCAATGCCATGGCCTGTTCCTGCTATCTGTCTTGTAAGAGCACTGCCAAAATAAACTGCTTGAGCACCAGATGATGTCTAAGGCTCATCTTTGACTGGAAGCAGCCTGAAAGAAAAAACATTGCTTCTGGGGAGGCTGATTAACTAGGACCACCGGAAACCCTCAAAAAACAGATAGTAAGAATGTTTCCAGAGCCACACTAAGTAAATGGAATATAGGTTTCATACTTGTTTAAGCAGGAAGAAGAAGAACAGAGACATAGACAGTAGAACTCATCATATAAAGACCACTCTAGTACCTAGGAACTTAATCACTGGAAAGACTCATAGTCATATGTTAAAACATTTCTACGGTCTTGTTTATACAAATTGTTTAATATGTGGGAAATTCTTCCTAATATTAGAAAATGTATAGCAACCAGCATTAGCATTTAGGAACCTAAAACACAGAATCTCTTATAATTGAGGTAGGGAGAATGGGAGAAGGAGCAAAAGAGATTTGTTAACTTTATATCTAATTAATGTCCTAAGAAATTTTAAGTAGGTAAAAATTATTGTTTACAAATATAATAGAAACATAATTATATTTATAATGTATATATATTATTTTTCCATAGATTATTGGGGTACATGTGGTGTTTGGTTGCATGAGTAAGTTCTTTAGTGGTGATTTGTGAGATTTTGGTGCACCCATCATCAGAGCAGTATACATTGCACCCTATTTGTAGTCTTTTATCCCTCGCCCCCCTCATATCCTTCCCCCCAAGTCCCCAAAGTCCATTGTATCATTCTCACACCTTTGTGTCCTCATAGCTTAGCTCCTATATATCAGTGAGTACATACAACGTTTGGTTTTCCATTCCTGAGTTACTTCACTTAGAATAATAGTCTCCAATCTCATCCAGGTCACTACAGATGCCATTAATTCATTCTTTTTTATGGCTGAGTAGTATTCCATTGTATATTTATACCAGTTTCTTTATCCACTGGTTGATTGATGGGCTTTTGGGTTGGTTCCATGATTTTGCAATTGCAAATTGTGTTGCCATAACATGCGTATGCAAGTATCTCTTTTTGTATAATGACTTCTTGTCCTCTGGGTAGATACCCAGTAGTGAGATTGCTGGATCAAATGGTAATTCTTTCAGTTCTTTAAGGAATCTCCATACTGTTTTCCATAGTGGTTGTACTAGTTTACATTCCTACCAACGGTGTAGAAGTGTTCCCTGATCACCACATCCTCGCCAACATCAACTGCTGTTTGGTTTTTTGATTATGGCCATTCTTGCAGGTGTAAGGTGATATCACATTCTGGTTTTGATTTGCATTTCCCTGATCATTAGTGATGTTGAGTATTTTTTCATACGTTTGATGGCCATTTGTATACCCTCTTTTAAGAATTGTCTGTTTATGTTCTTAGCCCACTTTTTGATAGGATTTTTTGTTTGTTTTTTGTTGACTTGACTAGTTCATTGTAGATTCTTAATATTAGTCCTTTGTCAGATGTATAGATTGCAAAGATTTTCTTCCATTTTGTGGGTTGTCTGTTTACTCTGCTGAAACTTCCCTTTGCCCTGCAAAAGCTCTTTAGTTTAATTAACTCCCAGCTATTTAGTTTTTTTATTGCATTTGCTTTTGGGTTCTTGGTCATGAAATCCTTGCACAAGCCAATGTTTAGAAGGGTTTTTCCAATGTTATCTTCCAGAAGTTTTAGAGTTTTAGGTCTTAGATTTAAGTCCTTAATCCATCCTTAGTTGATTTTTGTAAAAGATGAGAGATGAGGATCCAGTTTCATTCTCCTACATGTGGTTAGCCAATTATCCCAGCACTATTTGTTGAAAAGGGTGTCCTTTCCCCACTTTATGTTTTTGTTTGCTTTCTTGAAGATCAGCTGGCTGTAAATATTTGATTTTATTTGTGGGTTCTCTCTTCTGTTCCATTGGTCTATGTGCCTATTTTTATACCAGTACCATGCTGTTTTGGTGACTATGGCCTTACAGTGTAGTTTGAATCAGGTAGTGTGATGCCTCCAGATTTGTTCTTTTTGCTTGGTCTTGCTTTTGCTATGTGGGGTCTTTTTTGGTTTCATATGAATCTTAGAATTGTTTTTTCTAGTTCTGTGAAGAATGATCATGGTATTTTGATGGGGATTACACTGAATTTGTGGATTGCTTTTGGCAGTCTGGTCATTTTCACAATATTCATTCTACCCATCCATGAGCATAGGATGTGTTTCCATTTGTTTGTGTCATCTATGATTTCCCTCAGCAGTGTTTTGTAGTTTTCCTTATAGAAGTCTTTCACATCCTTGGCTAGGTATATTCCTAAGTATTCAATTTTTTTTTGTAGCTATTGTAAATGAGGTTGAGTTCTGATTTGATTCTCTGCTTGGTCACTGTTGGTGTATAGAAGAGATACTGATTTGTGTAGATTAATCTTGTATCTGGAAACTTTGTTGAATTATTTTATTAGTTCCAGGAGCTTTCTGGAGGAATCTTTTGCATTTTCAAGGTAAACAATCATATCATCAGCAAACAGTGGCAGTTTGACTTCCTATTTACCGATTCGGATGCCCTTTATTTCTTTCTCTTGTCTGATTGCTCTGGCTAGGACTTTCAATACCATGTTGAAGAGGAGTGGTGAAAGTGGGCATCCTTGTCTTGTTCCAGTTCTCAGAGGGAATGCTTTCAACTTTTCCCCATTCAGTATTATGTTGGCTGTGGATTTGTCATAGATGACTTTTATTACATTGAGGTATGTTTCTTGTATGCTGATTTTGCTGAGAGTTTTAATCATAAAGGGATGCTGGATTTTGTCAAATGCCTTTCCTTCATCTATTGAGATGATCATATGATTTTTGCTTTTAATTCTATTTATGTGGAATCACACCTCAAGGGACTAGAGAAACAAGAAAAAACCAAACCCAAACCCAACAGAATAAAGGAAGTAACCAAGATCAGAGCAGAACTAAATGAAATTTAAATTTAAAAAATGCAAAAACATAAATGAAACAAAAAGGTGGATCTTGGAAAAGATAAATAAATCTGATAGACCATTAGCAAGGTTAACCAAGAAAAGAAGAGGGAAAATCCAAATAACCTCAATAAGAAATGAAACGGGAGATGTTACAACTGACACCACAGAAATACCAAAGATCATTCAAGGCTCCAATATGCACATGAACTAGAAAACCTAGAAGAGATGGATAAATTCCTGCAATAATACAACCTTCCTAGCTTAAATCAGGAAGAATTAGATACCCTGAACAGACCAATAACAAGCAGAGAGATTGAAATGGTAATTTAAAAACTACCAACAAAAAAAGGTCCAGGACCAGAGCGATTCACAGCAGAATTCTACCAGACATTCAAAGAAGAATTGGTACCAATCCTTTTGACACTATTCCACAAGACAGAGAAGAGGGAACCCTCTCTAATTCATTCTATGAAGCCAGCATAACCCTAATACCAAAACCAGGAAAGGACATAGCCAAAAAGACAGCTACAGATCGATATTCCTGATGAACATAGATGCTAAAAACCCTAACAAAATACTAGCTAACCAAATCCAACAACATATCGGAGATAATCTACCATAAGCAAGTGAGTGTTATACAAGGGATGCAGGGATGGTTTAATAATTATATTTGTCAGCGTTATTTATAAACAATTGTACATATTGAATATTATTATAGAAGGTATGCATTGTTTGATTATTTCATTTAAAAACAATTTTCAACATCCATCCATAATAATTCCCCTTGCCCTACCTCCCTTCTCTGTTCTAAATTTCCCGTCAACCCAGAATATTCTAATACTATCCACTCAGACAACTAGCTGCTGTTTCATGCACTGAAATATTTGAAGAATAGCTGCATGCCAGATGGAAATCACAGGTAGTAGTGCCAAACAATGTATTTAAAAAGCATGATTTTACTTTTATATTCCTGTGGAGTCTATTAATATTTTTATGAACTCAGAGTTGGAAAAAACAATATCAGTGTGTGATTTTGGGAACTGTGTTACTCAGAAAAAAAAGGAAAAATACAAAAAGAAAATGTTATATAGCAGAGCAGAAAAGGAAGGGGTGGAGCCTAGGATAAAGTTCCAATATAGATAAAAGTATGGATCCTGATCTCCTAATGTAGGTTACTAAGGGGTCAAAGAGTCCGCGTGTAATAAGGAAAACACATCAGTTCTGTAACTAAGTGTTATGAAGAACCTCACTACCTCACTTTGGCTTGACTTCTCATGTTGTTGAATCAGAGAATCTTTTAATGTTTGCCTTTCACTTTTGACTTTCTCAGGAGCTAATGGAAGTAACAGGATACCGGAACCCATAATATGGAGATATTCCTGACAGCTGATAATATGAAAGAAACAAAATCCACTGGAGACAGTAGCCATACTGAAGTTTGAGTGCTTTATGTGATGTTAGTAAAATGTGGATTCAATAGTGTGAGAGTGTAAAGGGGAAGACCAGGAAGTTCACAAGGAAAATGACAAACTAATGACAAAAATTTTTAAGAATTACTATAGGAATACTGAAGGAATACTTTTGGTTGGGTAGCAGATGACGACTTCTGAAAATGTGGGTACTCAATAACGGATGGCCCTCTGATAATAATAATTTTCTATCTTCTGGAGGTCTTCATGGAAGTGTTTAAAGTACTTGAATTTGTACTGAGAGAGGCTGACGTTTGACTTTCAGTATTAACATTCCTCATCTTTTCTCAAAAAAATTTCTCCTGTTTGAGCAAAAATTATAAAGAAAATCCAGTTGCCTATTAATTTAATGGGAATGATATGATCTTTTAATAACATCAGTAACTAATACTGGCCTGCAACATTATATTTTTACAGCTATATTTTCATAAGTAACCCACAATATACACTGTTTTTGGCACTCTTCTAAATATTCCAAATTAGATAGTATGAGAAATCTAAACCAAATAATCATTCTTGCAGGCTTGGATATGATGATCATGTTATAATTCCTCAACTATTCACTAAAGCCTTATGGATTCCACTATATTAAGCTATGGGTATGTCTATGTAAGAAGTACACAGTATAACTTTAGGTATATGATATACTTACTATGTATAAAATGAGGCAACTGAGAAAGTAGGGAGTCTAGCACTTCAACATTCAAATCGTGATCTGTGCAGCAGCAGCAGCATCTGGCATGTATTCTAGCATGGTGCTGACTTGCCCCATGTATTGTCCAAAGATATAGAAATTAAACCAGTTATATTTTTCTTGAGTTGCAAGGTATATACAGTCTTGCTCGTGGCTAATTAACATATGCTTTTAGAACTGCCATAGTTTAAAAATGTCTATTATAAATTCGTACATAAAGCTAATTACAATGTTGATGCCTCCAGACTATTCTGATACGTGAAAATTTCCTAGTATTTTTAGAATTACTGAAATCAATAATTAAATAAACAAATAGTACGAGTGTCAGGGTCTGAATGTCTTGTAGAAGATTCTTATAATTCCATTCCTCTAAAATTATAGCATAATACTGGCAATTACTAGTTTTTCTTGATAGATCAATGGTAAAGACAGATTCTTATGTTAAGTTTCATTAGTATTATCTGCATTTTTATATTTAAAAAAATCCTACATTAAAAAAAAATCGCTGTTGATTCCGAGACGGAGTTTTGCTCTTGTTGCCCAGGCTGGAGTGCAATGGCACGATCTTGGCTCACTGTAACCTCTGCCTCACGGGTTCAAGCTATTCTCCTGCCTTAGCCTCCTGAGTAGCTAGGATTACAGGCATGTGCCACCAAGCCCTGCTAATTTTTTATTTTTAGTAGAGACGGGGTTTCTCCATGTTGGTCAGGCTGGTCTCGAACTCCCAACCTTAGGTGATCCGCCTGCCACAGCCTCCCAAAGTGCTGGGATTACAGGTGTGAGCCACTGCACCCGGCCATCAACAGCTTTTTAAAGGCATTTTTAGCCTATTATGTAATCCTCATCCATTATAATAATATTTTCAAACAGATCAATTTATGCAAATGAATGAATAGTTGAAATTTTAAAATATATATAAAAATAGAATGGATTTTATTCTTAGTTTTCAAGTGAAGGGCATTTTGTTTACCTATAGTAATATTTTCACTACACAGATGTATATTAAAACATTATTTTTTAGTTTTAAATATACACAATAAAAAAGTAAATTAAATTGCATACATTTCTATTTGCTTTATATGAACCCAGTATTGAGTATACTCAGGATTTGTTGTTTTTTACTATTAATATTAGTTTTATGATTTGACTATCGTGTTTCCCTGTTATCCAGAAGCTACTCTCTCATCATGTATATTGGCTAAAATATTACATAGAAAACTCAGGTATTAAGGTAATTTGATCATGTTAAAATGAAGATAAATATTTAACATAATATCCCATATGTATATAGAAAAACAAAATTATGCATTGCAAGACCAACAGATACTTTTATGTCCATTATATATTTTTATAGAGGAATAGTTTCCTACAAGTTAGCTTTGTCCTGGGAGAACATACAAATATCACCAAGTGTCTCAGCCTACTATGACCTGAACAGATAAACGAGCTTTTGTACTCAACGGGTCTAAGGCAGCTCTATACATATAAAAACAAAATTTTGCAATGTATAAGTCAAAATCATGATAGTATAATAATGGAGAAGTACTCTGGAAAATGAATTATTGAAAAACAACTGGCTGGGCATGGTGGCTCATGCCTCTAATCCCAGCACATCGGGAGGCTGAAGCTGGAGGACTGCTTGAGGTCAGGTGTTCAAAACCAGCCTGGGCAACATTTTTATTCTCCGCAAAAACTGTTTAAAAATTAGCCAGATGTGGTGGTGTATGGCTGTAGTCCCAGCTACTCCGGAGGCTGAGGTGGGAGGATCACCTGAGCTCAGGAGTTTAAGGTTGTAGTGAGCTATAATTCCGCCATTGCACTCTAACTTGAGTGACAGAGCAAGACTCTGACTCAAAACAAAACAAAACAAAAAACACCCAACAAGAATAACAACTGTTCCTGCATGTTCTTACTTATAAGTGGGAGCTAAATGATTAGAACACATGGACCCACAGAGGGGAACAACAAACCCTGGGGACTATCAGAGAGTGGAGGGTGGGAGGAGGAAGAAGATCAAGGAAAATAATTAATGGGTACCAGGATTAATACCTGGGTGTTGAAATATTCTATACAAAAAAACCCCATAAAACACAATTACAAGTCTGCACATAGACCTGTGAATTGAAAAGTTAAAAAAAAAAAAGAGTAATTACTGAAAGCAAAAATATTGGTTAGAAAATTGCAAAGAAAGCCAATATTTAAAAATATAAATATTTGGAAAATTAAATCATGATTAAATTTCACAATGAATATAATTAATAACATTATAAATCCTAATTCCAAAATTTGCTACCTCATTTAGAATTAAATTATATATTATTGTATATTTTCAAATTGTATAAGTAAATTTATATTTGATTATCAAAAACAGAAATGGAAGCAACATTCAATGATGTGTGTAAATGGACACTTAAGAAATATTTATTTATCCATGCATTAGCTCAGTAACTTATAACAACTGAAACTGACAATTCTGTTTTTAAAATAATGATAAATTGTGTTGTCTTTATGTGTATTAAAAATGTGTATCAAAAATGATCTCATTAGGTCACAAGCAAACAAAAAACGATTATTTCTTCTTCATCTTTGAAAACGCAAAAAAGAAAATGTATTTCTCTTTTTTTTTTTTTTTTGAGATGGAGTCTTGCTCTGTCACCCAGGCTGGAGTGCAGTGGCGCGATCTCCGCTCACTACCGAGCTCCGCCTCCCAGGTTCACACCATTCTCCTGCTTCAGCCTCCCTAGTAACTGGGACTATAGGCGCCCGCCACCAAGCCCGGCTAATTTTTTGTATTTTTAGTAGAGACAAGGTTTCACCGTGTTAGCCAGGATGGTCTCGATCTCCTGACCTCGTGATCTGCCTGCCTTGGCCTTCCAAAGTGCTGGGATTACAGGTTTGAGCCACTGCGCCAGGACAACAAAATGTATTTCTTAAAGATTAAAAAATTATAACTGAATTGTAACTTAATACGACTCCAATCTGCCTGAGAAATTCCCGTAAGTACACTATAATAAACGCTAGATTTATTTAAACATTATACAATAGAATTCAAAACAATATATTAGGTTTTTAAAAACTTCTTGCTATACTATTACTCCAAAGCAAATGTTACAAATAAGATTAGGTAGGTCACATACATATAAAGTAGGAGATATTCTTTATTAAAAATATAAATATATAAATTAGTGGCTTCATAATTCATTCTCTTTTGTTTTTTGTGGACTCCATCATTGACTTAATCTAATTTGCTTTAACCATCACCTCTATGATTAAAACCAGATTCTTTCTCTTCAAGAATTTCAACATTGGCTTCATTTTCCTTCTTAGATATGCACCATGTCCAAACTGAAACAAACTTTTCTGGAAGAGATTGTCTTACTGTAAATTTAATTTTTTGGCACAAATTGTTTTTTGAGGAAAAAATTTACATGAGAAAATTCAGTTCCCACTGTTTTATAACTTAATGAAGTTTATTATCATATAACTTCCCACAGATGTAAATATTAATTATTTTTTCTTGAGTGCAGTGGTGTGATCTCAGCTCACTGCCACTTCTGCCTCCCAGGTTCAAGCAATTCTCCTACCTCAGCCTCCCAAGTAGCTGGGACTAGAGGTGTCCACCACCACGCTGGCTAATTTTTGTATTTTTAGTAGACACAGGGTTTCACCTTGTTGACCAGGCTGGTCTAGAACTCCTGACCTCAGGTGATCCACCCACCTCGGCCTCCCAAAGTGCTGGTATTACAGGAGTGAGCCACCATGCCGTGATATTTACATTTGACAGAAGTTAGACATTAAGTCACAAATTGGAAAAACAACAACAAAAAACAACCTTTCTATAATTTTAAGCAGTTTTTATGCCTTGTCAAATGTTCTTATGTGATTACTTCTTAAATCATTCCTCCCATTAATATTCCTGCTGCCATTCATCTATTGCAATAGCTCCAAAATAATAAATATATATTTTGAATGTACAGATGAGTGAATAAACAGCCTCACATCTAAACTATAAAAAATTGTTAATCATCTTTTCTTCCTTTCTAAATATTTTTCTCTTCCAAACTATTCACATAATCATAGAAAAAGGAAAACAAACTAAAACAAACAAAACACCATGGTCATCCTATATAATTTTATTCATAGTAACGTTTTACAGCAATCAGAGCTGTAAAATAAGGATAGATTAACAAAGTGGAAGAAACTCACAGGACACGATTTTAGTACTGTGAAGAACCTACTTACCATGTAGAAACTAGTTTATCAGTGACCAGTTACTTATCTATTACTTTTGTGTTCATTCTAATACCTCATATAAGTAGAATTATAGCACCTGAACATTAACTAAGTTTCTGTTCTGTTAATTTAACTTTGTGATTCATAAGTATGAAAATTCATGGAGCAATGGATAATTGACATTAGGCATATTTTATGTAATGTAACTATTTATGGTTGTTATAAAAAGTTATATGTAAGTGGTAGTTTAGACAAATGCTTAACATTGTGTTTGATATATTAATTGTGATTGGTAGTGATACAGAAGGAGGGACAGGGAAGTGATGGGAGGAGAATGGTGTGGTCCCTGGCAAGGGCTCCACCTCCAGCCTGTGTCCGTGGACCTAGGTGAGGACAGGTACTCCTGCCTTTGTGCCCAAATGTTGCATTTCCCAAGACAACCCTCGCCCTTCATGTCCCCATTCTGTGCCTATAAAACTCTGAGACCCTAAAGGGCAGACACACATGTGGCTGGACGTCAAGAGGAACACATAGATGGAGGAACACACAAGCGGCTGGACGTCAAGAGAACATCAGGGGAAAACCATCTCCCTTATGGCTCCCTCACCTGCTGAGAGCTACTTCCACTCAATAAAACCTTGCACTCATTCTCCAAGCCCATGTGTGATCTGATTTTTCTGGTACACCAAGGCAAGAACCCCAGGATACAGAAAGACCTCTGTCCTTGCGATAAGGCAGGGGTCTAATAGACCTGACGAACACAAGCCGCCTATGGACAACTAAACAAAAAGAGCACCCTGTAACACATGCCCACTGGGGCTTCAGCTGTAAACACTCACCCCTAAACACTGGATTGGGGTCGGAGCCCCACAGTTTGTCCATCTGTAGGCAACCCCTAGAGGTTTGAGCAGTGGGGCACTGAAGAAGCCAGCCATACCCTAGTCTTACGCCCTGTGAGGGGGACAAGGCAACTTTCCCCATTTCAGTAGTATAAAGTAAACTATTGTTGACTGTAGACTTACTGCTCTAATAAATAATTCAAAAATGTAAAATGTCTCAAACAAAATAAACATTTTTTTTTGTTCACATAAAAACACTCAGCAGGGGGACCTATTGGTGGGGTTTGTCCTCCATGCAGCCATTCAGAGTTGATGTGGCTCTACCTAAAGAGAAGCTTCCAAGATTTCATGGCGTGATGATTTCTTTAAATCTGGAGATGAGGAAGAGAGCATAAATTATCTTGTGCCTCTAGCACTATTAGCCAAAGTCTGTCCTCAAAAACAAATATCTGTGTGCATCCTTCAATCTTCTTAGTACTTTTTCTTTGTCCAGCGTAGATTTGTTATGAATTCTTTGCCACTTCTTGACCAAAATTCAAACCACGATATTGCATAAAACTTAACAATATTCCTAATCATTTCACTCTGTGTTGTTCTAATTATTTTCCTAGTGTAATGTCTTTTGAACTACACATATATGTGTAATATATGTGTGTGTATGTTTAAAAATCAGATTCTCATTACTTTGGTGGAAATTAGAAAAAAAAAACGGTAGTTTTCTTTTTCTTTTTTTTTTTTTTTTGAAACAGAATCTCGCTCTGTCACCTGGGCTGGAGTGCAGGGGCATGATCTCAGCTCACTGCAGCCTCTGCCTCCCAGGTTCAAGAGATTCTCCTGTTTCAGCCTCCCTAGTAGCCAGAACTACAGGCGTGCAACACCATTCCCAGCTGATTTTTTGTATTTTTAGTAGAGATGAGGTTTCCCCATGCTGGCCAGGCTGGTCTCGAACTCCTGACCTCATGATCCTCCTGATTCAGCCTCCCAAAGTGCTGGGATTACAGGCAACCACACCCGGCCTAACTATATTTTCTATTGTGATATCTAAAATTACACAAATGCATTATACAAACGTTTGTTCAATCATATTTTTCTATAGCTCTATGGAACAAACTGCAGGAAGAATGAAAATATTTCAGTTAATAATTGTATAATTAAAGTTTCAACTTCCATTCATTGTAACATTATAACTTCAAGCACCCCATTTTCATTCTAAATCACGGAAATACTGGACAAAATGTACAATAAAAATGCAAAAGTCAGCTGTACAAAATTAGATCTTTGAGAGTAAAGATCAAAACTAAAATAGAGAGCAGGGAACAGGGCTAACACCAGAGCTTATTCTCTTGGTCTAGAATCGGGTAGGAGTTGCCAGAAGTTCTGTTCATGCAAGGTAACCTGAGGGAAACAAGGAGAAAAAAAACAAACTTTCATTCAAAATTCAATTCAAAAATGACTGGAGTCAAGCTCATGGATGGAAACTAGAGGTCAAATGTGTAGTTCATATTCTCCTCCCACGCTTCAAAAAGAAAGCTTCAGAATGCTAACACTGACCTTTGCTCCAAACTCAAGCTTTTATGAACCTATAGTCTAGGCTGGTGGGAAGAGAAAAATCACAAACCCTTGACCAGGGATTGAGTCAAACCACCTACTGTTTTGAAGAATAAATTCCCTACATCCCCAAAGTAAGCACACAGATCAGCCCAAACCAAGATTAAAGACCTATATTTTGGACAGAAGGCCACAGGGAACAGCTAACTGAAAAAAGAAATAATAAAGCTGGACAGGATGAAGGTATAGAAGGAGAAAGCAAGTAATGGAAAAATGATCAAAATATAATTTCACACAAATAAATCCAACTGGGCATAATATGTACATATACCTAATGTTAAGAAGGACGTACATTAACAAAGCAGAATATGTGTGAATTTCAAATAAAATATGTGTATAATACACTTTAATATGAGTATGTTGGTTTCTTCAAAGAGATAAACAGAGGGATAATAGAGGTAAAAATTAATTCTTGCAAAAAAGGCAGAAACAAAATAAAACCAACCAGTCTATTACCAACAAGAACAATCAAAATATTCCAAATGGGAATGAGATGATCCTGAGAAATTAAGATGCAAGACAGAGGTAAGTAAATGTTAAATAAATAAAAGTTCAATGTAAAAGTATGAGTGCTAGATTAAGAAGTTTCTTTAAATGTTCAATAGAAGTTTCTAAAAAAGAAAGACCACAGAAACTTGGTAATTTAGATTCTTAAACTGAAATGCATGTCAGTGCCAAGCAAATAAATTAATTCTAATCTAGATACATGACAGTAAAAGAAGAAACTATTCAAGGATAAGGAGAATATGTTAGAAGCCAGCATGGGCAAGATACAGAATATATGCAAAAGATGGCAATTGTCCTAGCAATACTTTCTTTAATCAAAAAAATCAAAACTAAATGCCAAAACACAATTAAAATTGAAATGAAAATAATAAAGAAAATCATGTTTAGTCTAGAACTTAAAGTTGGGGTGAATTAGCATTCACTATAAGGGCAAAATAAAAGGCTTTGGGATACAGATATTCACCAAAAGAAATAGTAAAGGATATATTTTCAACGTTTTGGGTTTTGCTGATATAATTCTTAAGCTTTAAAATTTTTTTCTCAATCTGTTTTTTAACGTTATTTTTAATTGACACACAATTGTACCTATTTCTAACGTACAATGTGATGTTTTCATATGTGTATACACTGTAATGATCAAATCAGGAATTAACATATTAGCCTTCAGAAATACGTACAATTTCTTTATGGTGAGAATATTCAAAATCCTCTTTGTTAGCTGTTTTGAACTACACAATAAGTAATTACTAACTATATCACCCTACTGTGCAATAGTACACCAGATCTTATTCTTATCTAATTGTAACATAGCACCTGCTGTTCAATCACTCCTGGTTCTCCCCTCCCTCTTACCTTCCTCAGTCCCCTGCAACCACTATTGTACTCTCTACTTCTATGGGATCCAACTTTTTTAGATTCCACATATGAGTGAGATCATGTAACATTTGTCCTTCTGTGCTTGGCTTATTTCACTAAACATAATGTCCTCCAGGTTCATCTATGACATTGCAAATGGCAGAATTTCGTTTTTGTGGATGAATAGTATTCCAATGTGTATATATGTCACATTTCCTTTTTTCATTCATCCACTGATGAAAACGTAGGTTGATTTCATATCTTGGCTATTGTGAATGATGCTGTAATACAGATATCCGTTTAACGTACTAATTTTATTTCCTTTGCATATGTACCATTTAGTGAGATTGCTGAATCATATGGCAGTTTTATTTTTATTTTCATTTTTATTTTTGAGGAACCACCATACCGTTTTACTAATGGCTATACAAAATAAAGTTCCCATCAACAGAGTATAAGAATTCCCCTTTCTGAAATCCTCTCCAGAATTTGTTATTTTTTATGTTTTTGATAGTAGTCATTATAACTGGAGTGAGGAGGTATTTCATCATGATTTTGATTTACATTTTCCTGGTAATTACTGATTTGAACACTTCTTAAATATGCCTTTTGGGAATTTATATGTCTTCTTTTGAGAAATGTCTATTCAGTTCTTTTGCCCATTTAAAAATCTGATTATTTTTGTTACTTCTACAAGAATAAAAAGGCATACAAAGGAAGGAATGAAATGCAACAATAGCAAAACCAAACAACTGAAGCTCAGATATTAACAGAATTTGTTGGTGAATTTAACCAATGATTATGAAAAATAAAAATTAATAAATTTTAAAAATAGGATAAGCATCGTACCCTGGAAAAGGTTAAGGTAACATTTTGACAACTCTAAGAATATTAGCAACTACATACTACTGTTGCTCTTTTGGAAACAAGAGCTGACATATTAGAAACTGAAATACCCACTAAGGGCAACATGCTCTGAGAAAGCCCAAGATACATAAAAAGCCAAGTGAAGATGCTCCAATGGTAGCTCCAGATTTGCAAACATCCCTACAAAGTCACCAGAATATGAATGTTAGTTAAACCAACTTGGGCCTCAGGTTCAATTTATCCTCCAGACAAATGCCACCAAATGTCTGTTGGCACCATTTGAAGTATAGGGATTACTCAGCAGAACCTTTCTCAAATTCCCAACCTACGAAATGTTGAGATATATTTAAATACTTGTTACTTAACCTTGTGGGCTATGTCACTGTGGAGTAATAGATAACTGGAACAAGCAATGTTTTATGTGTGTGTGTATATATATATATATATGTGTGTGTGTGTGTGTGTGTATAAAATTATTTTTACAAATTCAAGGATCAATCAATATCAGAAAATCAAAATGGTCTGCCACCTTAAAAGATGGAAGCAGGACAAGTTTTCATTTCTTGCAGAGTAGATATAAAACCAAAGGAATTAATAAAGCTCACCATTAATGTATAACATTGAATAAATTGATCTGTTTAATATATGTAGAATAAATATGTATTTAATATAACATTTTAGCAAAATGAATTTAATACAGCCTTTGTAAGAAAAAAACATTTTTACTTGTCAATGCCAGTATGTTTCTTCACAGTTCAAGGTTTTTTTGAAGTTAAAGTATCCAGGGAGTCTTTCTCATAATGGTCACTTAAATCACATGAAGTGAAAAATAAAAAATAAAAAAAAAAACCAGAATTCAGATTCTGCTAAAGTAACTAAATTTGCTAAATGTTCTAATCATCCTAAGATAAACAGATGGCTTCTATTCAAGCGAAGCAAGGCAGTAATTATACACATCTGTACACCAATAAAAATCTAATATATCCAGAAGCTATTGGCTGCCATTTCAGATGATTCCTGAGAATAATAGTTGTATAGCCATTAGTCATTTTTTATAAAAGCTAAAATGACACCCAAGTAATTTTTATCATACAAAACACAAGGAAGAAATCTTCAATTTATTCCTCCTAAAAAATACTATTGACTGTCAATATATCAGTCATAGTATCTCTTTGCCATATTTTCTTCCTTTGTGTGCCATTAGATATATTTGCTGCTGTTTGTAAGGAATGCTAATATTTACTCAGTTAGTAGAAGAAACTTATATATTCCTGTCATCAGGGGTATGATAAATTTCACACCTAAAAAAATCAAGCTAAAAATATTGATCACCAACATAGCCGAATACTGTTCTTTGAATTCTAAACTTCTCTTCTGAATTTTCATACACAGGCAGAAATGCCATCACCTAAAGTAGGGTGTTGCAGTTCCACGTGAAGGAACAGCAGCTCAGCCATCTGGAGAGATGCTTTAAAGTTTTTTATTGTCCAATTGGATTTCTCTAGTTCTGTATGGCAGTCTGTAGACACCCACATTTTCTGTCTAGAAGTGCAAATGAATGCTTTTATTTCTGGCAGCTCATGTAAAATGCTGCACTTCAGATAGCCAGGCTGCAATGCTTCTGGCAACCAAAATCATTTCATTAGCCCAGTTAGAATGACATGCATAAAATTCAGATTACACCCTGTAAAATCAATTCTCATTACTAATCTTAATGAGGCCAATATGTTTTTCTATATACAAAACAGTGTAGAGTTTATCCTAATTTTAGGATCAAATGAAAAGGCACATTTCTGAATGTTTGTGGATACTATGCAATTTGTTGTAATAAAGGTATTTCTAACTTGATAATCTTAAGGGAAATGGATGGCAAATAACTGTTAAGAGTATTGAGAGAAATTTAACATTCAATCTAGTTATTTCTGTCTTACAAATTCCCTTATTCACTTCAATTGAATCTGTATTGATCACCATGAGTTAACTCACATACACTTAAATAAATTTGCATTGTCCGAATAAGAAAGCTAAAGCTTTACTTGTGTCAGCAAAGTTAGTAAAATAGGTAAAAAATGGCCTTTATTATTGAGAAAAGTGTTAGTCTCTGAAGCCAATGTAATTTAACAAGTATTTATTGATATATATCTTATGAACAGGCTTTTTAAAGGCACTTGTGAGGCATTGGTAGTAGATACAGATATGAAAACAGATAATACATAACTTTGTAATGAATTTACAATTCCTTTAATGTTTTAGGTATAGCAAATCAGCTACAAATAATGTGATGTCAGTATTATAAATTAAGCTAAGAAAAGTAGATCATAAAATCAGGATTTAAAAAATTCGGAAAATAAAGGGATTGTTGGTAGTTGAGTAGATAAATGTAAAATTCATGGGGAAAAAAGAACCTTATTAAGATCTTAAAAGATAGGTAGAATATGTTGGGAGGCCAAGGTGGGCGGATCACGAGGTCAGGAGATCGAGACCATCCTGGCTAACACGGTGAAACCTCGTCTCTACTAAAAATACAAAAAATTAGCCGGGTGTGGTGGCGGGCGCCTGTAGTCCCAGCTACTCAGGAGGCTGAGGCAGGAGAATGGCCTGAACCCGGGAGGCGGAGCTTGCAGCGAGCCGAGATTGCGCCACTGCACTCCAGCCTGGGCGAGAGAGCGAGACTCCGTCTCAAAAGAAAAAAAAAAAAAAAAAAAGATAAGTAGAATACGAATTGAATTTGAATTAGGGGTTATCTAGGTAAGTGTTATGGCTATGAGTATTGACTGGTGAAAGATAACATATAGTTATAAATTTGAAACTTTATAAATGGGAAATATTAAAAATGTTCAAATGAGATTAGGAGAGATTAATGACAGGCATTGAAACTATCTTCACACTTAGTAAAAAGAGAAATTTGGATAAAGCATAATTGCTAAAGCATGTACATATATAGTAAAATAATAACTTGACACCTAAAGAATGAAAGAGATGGTTAGTTTCAGGCAGAGGTTGTAACTATATATGTATATACTATATACACACTATATATATGTACACACATTATATATATATACACACTGTATGTACTATATATAGTAGTGTGTGTATACACATATATTTAGTTGTGTGTGTATGTGTGTATATATATATAGGTTTGCATGTATAGATATAAAATTTATAGACACATAGATAGGCAGAAGAACATTTTGTAACAATGAGGCAATTGTTAACATGTGTATTGTATGATGTTTATAATAATAAAATGATATTGTTGGACTTAGTGTTTGGAACATCGAATGGATTAAGATTATGTTAAATATGTGACATAGCAATGACAGCAATATAGCAGAACAATTACATCTCATTTTTCTCTCATTCAGATGCATTCATTTGGAAACAGTGGTTAATCACAAATACATCAAAGAGGAACTAAAGTAGGGGGAAAGTTGTTTTTATGTTACAAATCACATTAAAATTAATATGGCAATTGAAAGTATTGCTTGAAGTAAATATGCTGGAGAAAGAATAAAAACTTGCATCCAAGCTGCACCTGACAAATATCTGTAGAGCAGATACATATGGATATAGGACTTATTCGTTATAATTATAATTAGAATAGGCTTATTTCAGAAAGCAAGGATATCTTCACATTAAGTTTTCAACTTAAAAATTCATGACTGTGTAACTTCTACATAAAATACCTAAAAGTCAAAATCAGAAATGATTATAACTTAGTGCATGTGATTTCCAGTTGGAAATCTTCAATAACATTCTTCACTCGTTTGATGGATAATCTCACTTTTACCACCAACTTGGCCCATTAGGTTGTCCAGTGAAGACAATGGGATATCATGCAAAGAACGCCAGAATCAGAATTAATCCCCACTCAGAGAATTTCCTCAGTAATCCACAAGTCAGAAAGCCTACAAAGTGACAATATAGCACATGTAATTTTGGAAAAGTTTTCCTTGTGGAATAGAATTCCTTTAGATTGATAACATATCTGATTCCCTGTTGTTATTGCTATTTGGTCAATGTTATAGCAGATGGATGATTGATAGGTAGGTAGGTAGATGGATAGGTAGATGACAGAATTCCTTCAGCACAAGTTTGCAAAAGGAGTTTATAACGATAATATGAGTATGCTTTTTGGAAAGGAATCCTTCTTTCATAGAGATGCATACTGAAATACAAGTGGATTAAATATTTGTAGGATTTGCTTCAAAATATTTAAGAACAAGTGAATTAATTGTAAATAAAGGAATCAAGACTGGCCATTAAGATAACAATTGATGAAACTGAGTAATGTATACAGACTCACTATACAATTCTATCTATACATATGTATGTTGTATTAAAAAATAAACGAGGAAAGAAAAATATGTATTTCTATGTATATTCATTCAGGCAATCAGATATGCAATCAATCTAAAGGAATCATTTTTCACAAGGAGAACTTTTTCAAAATTACACGTGCTTTATTGTCACTATGTAGATTTTCTGACTATTGAATTACCACCTGTCGGCATAATGTAGAGGAAATTCTCTGGGTGGGGATTAATTCCGTTTCTAGTGAGTGTTCTTCACATGGTATCCTACTGTCTTCACGGGACAACTATGTATTTTTCTTTCCTTGTTAATTTTTAATACAACATGTTAAAATACGTGATCTTTCAAACGCTGCATGTTTTCAGTTGGCTAAAATGCTGGAGGAAATGCTACTTCCTACAAGGGTAATAATGTATTTGCAATGCAAAAATATTCTTGAATTAATGTCCTTAGAAGCTTCCCTGCTTTATCAAACCTAGTCATTCATACTAGGAAAAATGAAATATTTTCAAATGATGGCTAAACTTCAAAAAAAAAAAGAAATTCCTGGAGACAAAAGTGGAATAAAAATGACTATTATACATGTAAGCAAATTCAGAGCCATCCTACGGACATTTGCTGATTGTAAAACTAAACGTTAGGGATTTTTATGGTCATGTGGAGACCACTGAAAAGGAGTAAACCCTTGTCAAAGTGAGGTAGGAACCAAGACTTCCACAAGCAGCCAGAGGCTTGGAGGGTTGCACAGCCTGTGACAGGGTAGACTGGGGAAAAAAGGAAAAAAAAAAATCAGCCCACATACAAAGACAGTGTGTTTAATTAACTATCTTGGCCTCCGTTCCAAATAGGACAAAATAATTCTGCCCTGGGAACTGGCAAATATATGTATGTTTTCCAGTCACAGAATTGCCTTGTGCATTTGAGTTTATACTGATGCTTGGTTCAAGATCCCCTAGTATGAAATATAAATTTAAAGTGATCCCTGGTTAATGGCACCTCAGGTTGCTGTCAGAAACAAATACAAATGCTGCCTAGAATAATTCATGTTAAATATAAGCATAGCATAATTCCCCCAAAAGTCAAAATTTGGGCCTAGGCAGCTTCAGATATGGAGATAATTGATACTGATGTTTAAATACTTAATTTAAAAGGCAAAAAATAAATAGAAATATAATCCAGAAATAAAATATTGTCAAAAGAATCAAGCATGATTTTAAAAAGTACCACATAACTTCTAGAAATTATGTGAATGTAAATATCTATATGTATAATTAAACCTAAATCTATCTATCTGCCTACCTGACTACAGAGAAAGACAGGGAGAGAGATTTTCTAAAGTTAAATAGATAGGGTTAATGCAACCTGGACAGAGCCAAAGAACATTAATAAACAGAAAAAAAAAACTAATATGAAGAATTTAACAAGAATTCAACAAAGAAATATAAAAGAAGGCCGGGCGCGGTGGCTCACGCCTGTAATCCCAGCACTTTGGGAGGCCAAGGTGGGCAGATCACGAAGTCAGGAGATCGAGACCATCCTGGCTAACACGGTGAAACCCCGTCTCTACTAAAAATACAAAAAATTAGCCGGGCGAGGTGGCAGGCGCCTGCAGTCCCAGCTACTCGGTAGGCTGAGGCAGGAGAATGGCGTGAAACCCGGAGGCAGAGTTTGCAGTGAGCCGAGATCGCGCCACTGCACTCCATCCTGGGTGACAGAGCGAGACTCCGTCAAAAAAACCAGCCAACCAAACAAAATATATATATATGAGAAGAGTAAACAAGCATGGAGGACAAAAATGAGAACATTCACCATGGGTCTAACTTGATTCCCAGAAGGCGAGATGATGTAGATATGAATAAGTCACAGTTGATGAGAAAATTACTGAGAATTTTCTACGCTGATGAAAGTCGCTAAACCTTAAATTCTGAAAACACACCAAAAGCTAGGCAAAATACACGAAAAGAAATTAAAAAAAAAAAACTGACAACTGCCCAAAATATACTAAAACAAATATATATTTAAAATAACCAGTGAAATTAATACTATGTACAAAGAACAATAAAGGATGTAACATGAGAATCTGCAAGATCAATAGAAAAGCCTGAAATAAATTCTTCAAATTGTGAAAAGAAAATAACTGTAAAACTGAAAATCTACCCCTAGGTTAAAAAAATCTTCAGTTATGAGGGCATAGGAAAGGCCTTTCCAAAAGTAATTCGTTAACTATAACTATATGTTGTCAATAGATTAATAATTACTTTAGAAAACTGATAATTGATCCTAAATAGAAGGTGTAAGATACAAAATGGTGGGAAAATAAAAGGTGTATAATTCTAATATTTACCCATTGTGCAAAGAACTGATAATAATAATGTTCATTTTTTATAACAAAAGCTCAAATTTACAGAAAATTCAAATGCATCAATAACCAATATAAATATAAAATGAAAAGTTCTCCAATTAAAACAAAAGATGTTCAGAGTTTCTTTTTTAAGAGTTAAAAAGTACAGCACAATTTTTTAAGTGTTTTTAAACAAAGTGACATATACCTTAATTGTGGCAAAATGTTACTAGTTATAAAGAATATTATGATATGGCAAAGTTTGAGTATACCAGCATGAAATGACAGTTTAAAAATATATTTAATTTTAACATAGTTTTAGAATAAATGAATCAAATATTAATTTTCAGAAGCAGAAGCACAAACATAAAAATACTTAAAACCAAAACTGGACACTGGGAAGAAATCTTATTAGAAATATTAATTCCTCAAAGACAACCCCAAAGGAATCACAAAACGGGCCATGAAGTAATATAAGGTATTTGCCACATGTTTATCCAATAAAAATTTATAACCAGAATAAAGCTAGGGCTCCTTTAAACCAGTGGACAACCCAAACAAAAAAATTAGGAGAACGTTGAGCAAGCTTTTCACATAAGGGGAAATCTAAGAAGCCAACAAATATTTCAAACATATGCTCAAAATCATTAATCTTCAGGAAAATTTAAAAAAATCCATTGGAATAAAAAAACACCCATCAGAATACTGAAAATTTACACAGAATGATAGTACCAAGTATCAGTGAGGATGGGAAATAATGAGAATTTTCGTATATTCCTGGTAGAAATGAAGTTTAAAAAGTCACTTTTAGAGACTAATTGACAATATTTATTACATTTGAACATTTTAATAATCTGTCACCTATTAACTAAATAAAACGCATGTGTATGTGCACTGAAGGATATTTAAAGGAATGTTTATAGCAGCATTATGCGTACTAGCTGAAAGCTCTTCTCTTCAGCAAAATAATAAACTATGGTATATCAAGCCATTTACTGTTGAAATAATATACAAAATTTAAAATTAATTAATTATTGCCATATAATACACCGAAGAGTCTCACAAATATAATATGTCAAGCCACGGAAGAATGCATAATCTATGAATTTCATAAAACAGGCAAAAATAGCCTATGCAACTGAAATCAGAATAGCGGTTCCTTTTTAGAAGTGGTGTGTGGGCTTCTGTGGGAGTGGTAATATTCTATTATTAATATGTTTGATGATTAGATATTAACAACTTTTTGATACTTCAATGGGCTACATACTTATGATTTGCCCATTTCTTGTATGTTTTATGTTAATAAAAACTGTTAAACTATATATAAATCAAATAATAATGAAAACACAATGGACATTGTAATAGCCACAATATTGGTTAGACTTTACGTAATATGTCTGTGAGTAATTTATAGATCAAGTGAATACAAAACCAAAAAATTTGTACCAACGTGAAGAGTTTCCACAGAAGATTGAACAATCAAATGAACAAACATTATTGGGAGTTCATAGAGGATATTACATACTATAATAATATAATCCACATTTTTTCTGACACAGAAATTATAAAAATTGATTACCTACTATGTGAGTCTCAATAAATTTTAAAGAATTAGACTGTATTTTCTCAACATAATGTGACTACAGTAGTGATCCATGACAGCAATAACTATAAAAACAAAAACAAAAAATAGTTACTAATATATAGACATATTTTTAAGTAACCAGTTAGTGAAAGAAAGCATGATAAATTATGCTGAACAATGTGGCCAACATAGTATTGAGAATGATATTAAAATCATTCACATGCCTTCATGAACAATTAAAGAATAAAATTAATAAGCTAAATATCAAAACTAAAGAGTATTTTGCATTACTTGCATAATAAAAAAAAGAGAAAAAATAAAAAACACCAAACAGATATTAATATAATACAATACAAATATAAAATACAGGCATACCTTACTTTATTGCTCTTCATTTTATTGGACTTAGCATATAGTATTGCATGTTTTACAAACTGAAGTAGAGTGGCAAACCTGCATTAAGAAAGTCTATCAACACCATTTTTCTAACAGCATGTGCTCACTTTGTGTCTCTGTGCCACATTTGTTAATGCTCCCAATACTTACAGTTTTTTTCTATTATTAAATTTACTATAGTGATCTGGGATCAGTGATCATTGATACTACTTTGGTAATTGTTTTTGGACACCACATCATGTCAATATAAGATAGTGAACTTAGTTGATAGAGCAGTGGCAGGTTTTAAAAGGATTAACTTCAATTCTGTAAGAAATTCTATGGTGGATAAAATGCTAGCAGCCTTAGATGCTACAAAGGAATCTTTTGTAAAAAGAAGAGTCAATTGATGCAGCAAACTTCATGGTTTTATTTTAATAAATTGTCATAGACACCCCAACCTTCAGCAGCCACCACCCTGATCAGTCAGCAGCCATCAACATCAAGGCAAGGCCCTCCATAAGCAAAAAGAGTATGACTGGCTACAGGGTCATATAATCATTATTTTTGGGGGGGGAAATAAAGCATTTTTAAACTAAGGTATGTGCATTTTTTAAGCATAATGTTATTTGACACTCTATAGACTATAGTATAGTGTAAACATAAGTTTTAGATGCACTGAGAAACCAAAACATCCATGTAACCGACTTTAGTGCAACATTTGCTTCTTACAGTGGTCTGGAACCAAACTCACAATATCTCTGAGGTCTGTCTGTAGAGAGATTTTATATAATAAATATTTAAATCTTTGAAAACATATTTAATAGACAAACTTTTAACAATACTGATCGAGAAAAATTGAGATATAAATTAGTACAAGTAACAATAATAATAATGTGAGAGGTATTATTTCAGGTTAAAATGTAATAAAAATAATAAATTTGAAAACTTGGAAAAGCATTTTATAAAATAGCATAATTATTTAATAATACTCAATATATAATAGAACACATAAATTGTTTTACGACTGTTACACATATTTAATTTCTAGTTTAGCATCCATCCATCAATATCACTGAGCACAGATGGTTTTCAGAGAAGTGTTTATCAAACATTCAAGAAAATAATAACTCAAATTATTTTTCAAATTATTTTAGAGAATAAGCAAAAAGAAACCACAATCCATTATCTGAAATAAAAATACAGTTTACTACTTAACTCACATTATAAGAAAGGTAAGTTACTACATACTATAAATTATAACCCTAGATTAAAAACCTTGTATATTAGTAAAATAAATGCACAATTATATAACATGTGCATTAATAACAAGTGGTGAGTATGTAATAATGCAAGTAAATTTCTTAACATATTCACAATATTTGTGCATGTAATTTGTCAAAATAATGTTGTAAGAGAGAAACCCATAGATCATCTCAGTGGAATTTTTTTCTATTTTTATTATTTTTTAAATAAATTTGACTGTGTATATTTGAGGTTTACAACATGATGTTATGGCATTCATGTAGACAGTAAATTGGCTACTATAGTGGAGCAGATGTATATATCTGTCATCTGACATAGTTATGTTTGTCGATGAGAATAACAGCTAACATTTATTTATTTAACAGAAAATCCCTTATACAATAGAATCTCATGAACTATAATCCTCATTACATTAGAGCTCTAGACTTGTTTCTCCTGCATATCTGCTACTTGTACCGTTTGGCCTACATCTCCTCATTTCCTATAGCTTCACCACCCCTGGTAACCATTGTTTTATTTTTTATCTCTGTGTATTTGTATATATTTGACTTTGATTTTTTTTTTCAGTTTTTACATATAAGTAATACCATGTAGTATTCTTCTCTCTGTGTCTGGCTTCTTTCACATTGTATAATGTCCTCCAGGTCAACCACATTGTGGCCAATGACATGATCTGCTTTTCCAAAGACTAAATAATATTTGTATATTCATATGTATATTCATACATATATATACACACATTTGAGTATATAATTAAAATGTATGTATGTATGTGTGTGTGTGAATACATATATATATACACACCACATTTTCTTTATTCGTACATTAATGACAATTGTTTCTGTACCCTGGCTATTGTGACTGATGCTGCAATAAACATAAATGCAGATACCTTTATGTGGTGGTAATTTCATCTCTTTGGGCATATACCCAGAGAAGTGATTGCTGTCATATAGCAGCTCTATTTTTAATTTCTTTAGAAGCCTCCATACTGTTATATAATTGCCATACCAAGCTACATTCCCACCAACAGTGTACAAGGGTTCCCTTTTTCCACATCCTCAGCAATATTTGTTATTTCTTGTCTTTAATAGCTGTTCTAACTGGTATGGGGTGATGCAGTGGTTTTAATTTGCATTTTTCTGATATTGGGGATATTGTATAATATTGTTCACAGCTTTGGTCCTTTCTAACTGACTTTTTAATGCACACTACATTTGGCAACTCATTTCCATTTTTTGACATACAATATTGACACAATATTGTACGTATGACACAGTATTGTATGTACCTGTTAATCATTTTTATGTCTTCTTTGCCAACTCTCTGTTCAGGTTCTTGCCCATTTTTTAACTGAGTTGTTTTTCTGCTATTGAGTTATAAAGATTGTTTATACATTTTGTATACTAGCCTCTTATCAGATATGTGGACGTGGCTTGCAAATACTTTTTTCTATATTGTAGGTTGACGTTTCATTTGTTGATTGTTTCTGTTGCTGTGAAGAAGGTTTTTGGTTCAATGTAGTCCAATGTATTTATTTTTGCTTTTGTAGCCTGAGCCTTCGGTGTGATATCAAAAAATAATTGCCAAAGTCAAGGAGCTGTTCTTTTGTGTTCTTTTCTAGGAGTTTCATAGTTTCGGGTTTTACACTTAGATATTTCCTCCATTTTGAAGTGATTTTTGTGTCTGGTGTAAGATAAGGCTCTGATTTTATTATTTTGCCTGTGGAAGTCCGGTTTTTTCAGCATCATTTCTTGAAGAGACTCTCCTTTTCCTATTATATCCTTTTTCTATTATGTCTTTGTAAAAAATGTGTTGACCATGTATGTTGGGATTTATTTCTGGACTTTCTATTCTATTCCATTGATTTATATTTCTGTTTTTATGCCAGTACCAAACCGCTTTGATTACTATATGTTTGTAATACAATTTGAAATCAGGAGGTGTGAGGTCTCCAACTCCAGAACTCCTTAATACTGTTGATGTCATTAAATACAAGGGAGGTCTGAGAAACTTTCACAGACCAGAAGACACTAGCAACATGACAACTAAACACAAAGTGCTACCCTGGATTGGACCTTGGATCAGAAAAAGGGTATTAATGAAAACATGGCTGAATCCAAATATTTTCTGGAGTTAAGAGTAATATATCAATGTCAATTTCTTAATATTGGAAAATGTATCATAGTAATGTAAGATATTGATAATGAAGATACTAGATAAGGGGTATATAGGAACTCTTTGAACTGCATTTGCAACTTTTCTGTAAATCTAAATTTATTGAACAATAAAACATTTATTTAAAAAGAAATTGAATCCTGACATCGCATGCCAAAAAAATGGCAACAAATTGCCATATATAGTATGCATTAAGAAGTCAGTCAGAAAGGACCAAAGCTGTGAACACTATTACACCAGAAACAAAACATAAAAAGCTTATAAAACAAATTATAAGATGTTCAACGCTATTAGTAATTATAAAATTACAAATTCAAACCATTATGAGATATATTTTCCCACCCATAATGCTGACAGGAAACAGAATATCACATGTTGTGAGAAAGCAGAACAGTAACCTTTTTATTGGTGGGTAGACTACTCAGTGTAAATACACAGAGGAGATGATTGGCAAAATGTAGTAAAATCAAAGATGCATTGAATCTGTAAGTCAACCATGTACTCCAAGTGTGTATATTACAGAAATAGAAATATGCACACAACATGTGTTTCTGAATGTTCATGGCGTTGTTTGCTGTGGAAAAAATAAAGTGGGAAACTATTTATATAGCTATTAACAGAGAATATTAAAGAAATAACATTTTCATACATATTCATATAATGAGATACTGTGAAGCAGTGAATATAAATGAAATAGCACAGCACCTATCAATGCATATAAACTTTACAAACATAATTTTGCTTGGAAAAAATAAGTTTCAGAAGATGTATATCATGGGTTCAAGTTCCCTAAAGTTTAAAAACATATAAAATAGCATCACAGTATGCTTATAAATGTCTATGTATACAGTAAAGCTGTAGACGATGAATCAGAGTGATACACATAAAATTCACTATAGAAGACATCTCTGCAGAATGAATAGGGAATTAAATTAGGGAGGGGATTTCAACAATATTGGCAATGTTAATTTATGAAGCTAGCTGATGGACATACAAGTATGTATTATTACTTATATATTTTTCTTGTCCTTAATTTTTTATAACAATGCACTTCAGTTATATATGTTATATTCCCCTAACCATTCTATCTGCTCCTTTCTTAACAGGATTCCATTCAAAGCCTCTCTTAAAATATTTTACAAGAACTACATATTACCATACAGGTTTTATAGCTTAAAATACGTCATATATTTGTATCTGCATGCACAGATGCTATTAAATATGTCAAAGGTGCAATACATTTTTCTTTCATGTTATGTTATTCTTATTGATCTTGTCATTTAAAAATATTTATAAACATTTTCCTTGCATGTTGATGTGGATTACTACCTGTCACTATTTTTCTATAACTAATTTTTAATACAAGCTAGAACTACAAAATTAGAATAAATGCTGACCCTGAATAGTTAATGATTATGCTGCATGGTATATCTCCTGGCAATGTTCAGAAGTTGTCCTTCAATAGGTCTCTCACTGTGACACTCATATATTCACTAATTTACTGTGGTTCAGGATCTGACTCTTGTATTTGCAGAGCCAGAAAACTGATTGTATAATTACATGCAGGATGGGTCCATGTCTCACTTGCAAACTAACTTAATCAAGTTTTCCAAATTGATCTATGAAGCCACAAGAACAATTTACTTATTCAAAATAGAAGTATAGCTCTTAAATGAAGGGAATCATTTACCTCATATTAGCAATTCATTCTCTCCCTTTATGCATATAAGGTAGGAAAAAATAGTAGGATCAGGTTGTTTTATGAGCATTTTACAAACTAAGTTAATAGATTAATTTCATACTTATTGGCACCAGGATAAGAAAGCTTAATATTTTTATCCCAGATAGTAATAGGTCAACTTTGCTGATGAAATATTATTATTTAAAATATATTGTCTAAGATTCATTCTTCCCTGATTAGAAATAGAATTGAAACAACCAATCTTTGCTTCTGTAAGTCCCTTTTTCCCACACTCTTATGATTGCTACCTCATGCTTTTGAGTGACATATACTTTTTGGAAATAAGATAATGCATTCAGCCAAATTACAGCTATGCCTTTGAAGTCTGGGACCTTGTCTGCCTTTGAGGTAACTTTGTATAAATGTCCTCTGATCCATTGTGTTGATTTTCCAATGCAACTCTCATAGGACATCTTATATCCTTTGTTTCTTCTTTGCATCTGATATCTGTCATCCAACATAATAGCTATCACTTCCAGTTTTTTGTTGGCTGCAATTGTAATCATGCAAGTCATTGATAAAAATGTAAAACAGAGCAGGACAAGAGCTTCTCTTGCATGCCGCTAGAATCTGTATTCTCTCTTGACAGATTTTCAGTAATTATAGCTCTTTCTGAACATGATCAACCATTTACAATCCCACCCAAATGCCTTGCCTTCCAACAAAATGAATTTTTGTTTTCAAGGACATCATGTGAGACCTTGTGAAATGCTTTTCTGAAATCTAGATGAAATTCATCCAATAAGTTAGCCAAATTAATTATTCATTAAACTTACATAAAAGAAAATATTGCTGCTCTTGAATGATCTATTTTGTGTATCCATATATCTTTGGTGGGTGCTTTTTATTTTAAGAGCATAATGTTATTTACTTGTTTAAAAATAGAGTTTTTTAGTGTATCTTCTTTCACTGTTGATCACATACTAAAATCCACATCTTTGTAAAAGGCTTCTTGGACCATGCAGGTAGAAGTCTGTGAATTACAGGGGACTGTTATGTCCTTCCTCCTTTCCAGTTTGCACTCTGTCACCAAATCTGGAATTCATCCATTTTATCTACTTCTGTTGCCTATATTCTTGCAATTCACCATCCACTATGGTGTCAGAAAAATCTGTAAGCTAGGTATCAAAGACTAAATTGTATCAACCCCAAATTTATAGATTGAAGCCCTAATTGCCAATAGGAATATATTTGGAGACAGGTCTTTAAGGACTCAATGGAGAGTAAATAAGCTTCTAAGTGTGGGCCCTTATTCAATAAGACCAATGTCCTCATAAGAAGAAACAGACACCAGGAGAGCAGCCACACACCGAAAAAAGGCCAGGTGAAAACACAGTGAGAAGGTGGCATTCTGCAAACCAAAAAGAGGGATTTCAGAGAGACCAGCTCTGCCAACAACTTTGTCTAGATAGATGTCTTTTTTTTCCTCATAAGCACAGACACACCCACACACACCCACACACACACATACACACACACACGAACCCCTTCTGTGCTTTTACATAATATTTTTCACTACTTTAAATTATGAGTTTTCGTAATTCTTTATGGAAACTTTTTTTTCTCTAGTAAATAGTGATATTATTTTCATGGCATTATTCAATTTAATCATTATAATAAAAGTAAATGTTCTAACTTTCTATCTAGATTATGTACACCTTGAGCACAGTGATTTGGCTTTACTGATACTTTTTTTCAATGTTTATCACAATGTTTCTCAACTAACATAGAATATAATTGAGTATTTTGTTAACATAATACATTTTATTTTAATATTTTTTATTTTATCAAACCATAGCATTATTCAGTATTTTCTGATAATTTTTTAAAAAGTGTTTTCCAAAATTTCTACATACCTAAGAAAGCATAGGTATAGCAGAGGAAGAAAGGATTATCTCTAGGAAGAGTATCTTTGGCAAATAAAGTGAGCATGGAGAATTCAAGTGAAAGGATGTTAGATTATCTGCAGTGGAATTGTCATATTAGTCATTAAGGGAAATAAGTGTGGTAAAAAACATTTTGAAATATTAATCAAGTTTTCTTTGTCATTTCTCATATTCTGTGTCAATTCCCCATTTATTCATCTGATTTCTCTTTGACTAATTTATGACTCTTTATTGTTTACTATATTCAAATTCTTTAGGATTTACCTAGTTCATTCTCTGGCTTCTTGAATCAATCAACTATTATTAAACTTGTATGTTATGGTGATAACCTTGTGAGCCACATATGTGAGAAGTCAGTCCAAGAGATGGAGACACATGGAGATGCCAGAGAAACAAGGAAGCAGAAAACCGGACGCATCTAACAGGAATGAGCAGGGGCCACCGTCAAGACGGTGTTTTGGCAACACAAAGATCCACCTGGCAGGGTATAAAAGCAGGGTATACTGCTTTGAACTGAGTAAATCTAAGAATTACTGGATAATTTATGGTAGCAATAGTGGATTTCTTGTTATTGAAGGCATGTATATGGTTGGCAATTAATTACAAAAGAAAAAGACATGTGGCCATATTTATTTACAGCCAAATCAGATGTATCATGTCATACAAGTTAGATTACTAACACAAGCATTTCAACATTATCCTAGCCAGATTGAAGGGATAGTCTAGTTAGAAAACCCTGGAGGTGATAAGAATTAATAATGTCGTTTATGCATAAAAAATCGTTTTCTTTACTATTTGTACATAAAAATGGAAGCAACAGTACTAAAAATTTTTTAAAAAGTTTAAAAATTCGAAACCAAAAGAAAGTCTCAAACAAGCTTTAGGCATTCTAGTAAGCTACCTCTCCTAATTTTTCTTGTTTTGCTACAGTGTTTTTCTGTGTATAGATGCAATTTAAGAAAGTTATAATTACAGAGTATATACAATTAGATATGTGTTCACTTAAAGTGACAAAAGAAACTGTTCACATTTTATGACATGCTACCAGAGAGTTTCTTGAAAACGTGGTGACTAAAGAAAATTACCATAATAGTAAGTGAGAATAAATTTAAAAAAACAATGAGAACTCAAAATTCTAGTGTAGTGGAAGAAGTAATGAAAATATTATTAAGAAAACTAATTAAAATGAAGTATTTCAAAGTGAAGATGATTAGTTTAATATGGATGTGCCAATGCTGAGGTGGTAATAAGACATCCAATCGTCCAAGTTACAAATATCTAGTAGAAAAATGGAGCAATCAATCTAGGCAATTTGTTCAAATATAACTTTTTCTTTGTGAGTGTAAAATAGTATACAGTGCACATCATAAATACTGTGGTTACATTTCAGTGGTATGGAAACTATCTCCACTTATGGGATACATACATACATATTCATAAAAGTAATATATGTGTTTACAATACATATGTGTGTCTATTTATATAAAAATCAATAATAGTCATTAGCTTCATTTGAGTATAACTCAAATCAATGTATCTATTAATGGTGTAGCATCACTACCAAAAATATAACATGTACGATTGCAGTCAATTACGATAAAAACTTTTATTATAGTTACATTTGATTCAGAATTCAGTTACCTATAGTAAATTTTAACTAGTTACCTAATTTGTCAGACATCAACTGCAAGATATGGGTTAAGAATCTGTAGTTTCGGAATTGCCAGGTATTGTGCAGAGTTAAAAAAAAAATCATTGAGATGTTTGACGGCACAGAGGTTGACTGAAAAGTTGTAAAGTTCTAAATGCTAATATTGACTGAAATTTTTAAATCAGGTAACCTTGCACTTTGTTATCAAAGGCAGTTAAATAACATTGAGACTAAATAAATAAAACTAGAAAAGAACATATCATTAAGCATAGAAGGATACAAATGTGTTGCGTGTTGTGTGTGTGTCTGTGTGTGTGTGTGTTTGTCCATGTGAAAGTCTGAGGAACACTAAGATATGAGTTCATATAATCAGGTTGTAGTCTTGCCTTTTAAAAATATTTTATGATTTAATACTGAGAAAGTCATGGTCTCTGATGTTTCTATCTATATACAGACATTTTCACTAGATCATATTGAAAATCTCTTTTAGCTTTCTGACTCAGCATTTAAATATTAATGTGTTTTATTTTGAATAATGAAAGCTATAAAATACAAGCAGTCTACTTTCATCTCTTAGGAGGTGTAATTTTTTTGCAGTTTCGCATATGCTCAGACCTAATCCTAGCAAGACATGTTATTTTCATGACATATATTGACACTGCATTAATCAATCAGCTTTAAAACTTAAAAATTCCAATTCAGTGTATGTGCTATTTTTTAAATATGCTAAATTTAAAGCAAAACTACAAAAGGTAATGTCTAATAGGAAGAATCTGTTTTTTCTCATACAATTTAAACATCATATAGTGTGAAGTAACAGAAGATGCTTGCTTCTGTCCTAATATAGTATTCAGACAAAGTTTCTTTTGTTTTATTGCATACTGAGTGATTTGGCCTCTATTGAAAAGCAGTTCAGAAAATCTCAGAGGAGGATAATGTCTGTTGACGATAACTGATGCTGGCTTCCATGGAAATGCTAATTTGGTAACAGTTGCTGTCAATCAGTCGCTTTGAGTTATTGTTCCAGCACTTCTAGATGCAATACGTGATGGCTGATGAAAGTTCCCACTACGGTAATTAGACTGTCTTCAAAGAAGACAGGATTGTTAACTTAGGCTAAGGTAAACAGGCTCTAAGCAGGAAAAATAAGCATAAATAGCTTTAAATGATTCAACAAAGAAGAAACCTCAGAAAATCCTTCTTGTTCTCATTTTCATAAAATAAGAGAACAGAGGTTGAACAAAATCAGCAAATCTTATGGTGTATAACAAATTGAACTATTCTGGCTTCTATATATATATTTACTATAGTTAAAAAAGTTAAAATTGTCTATTTCTGTCATACATGGTTTAATAAAGTAGTTCTATGAGGCATAAAAGTTTTAAATCTTTGATTCTATGAAATTTGTCCGTAAAGGTGGATTTCTTAGTGAAATATAAATGTATCCTAAATATTTTTTACTTCACTAATTAGAAAATACAACTCTGATAGCAGGAACAAACTTTGGAATACAACAATTAAATTATCTTTAAAAATTAGAGGAATACTTCAAGTAATTACAAAAACAAACTTTTTTAATTCAGTGAACTCAAGAGCAAATAAAGTTGATTTGCAGCTAACCAATTCTAAGCCCCAAAGCAGGCAAAATATTAGGCCTGTCTTCAATGTTAAATATAATTTTTCAAAAGGAGAAAAAGTAATTCAGAGATTTTAAAGTAGCTATATTAATGTAATAAAATAGATTATCTGGAAATATTTGAATTTATTATTTTAATTATAATTCCTAAAATATAACATCATTAAGGCACACTTATCAAAGTGTCTGAAAATAAGCTTATCCTTTGTAAGATATTTTTATTCTGACTTTATAGACTGCTTTATCGTAATGTTATAGATTGTACATAATTAACTATATAAATTGATAAATTTCATATATGTTCATACCCATGAAGCCATCACCACGATCAAAATAATCAACATTTCCCTTTCTCTGTTTGCCCACATTCCTTTGTAATTTCGCCTTCTCCCTCCACACAGCTGATATATGTTCTGTCATTATAGCTTAGTAAATCTTAGAAATTTATTTAACTTAAATCATGTAGATGTACTCTTTTTTGTCTTCAAAAATCATTTTGAGTTCTAAGATGCATGTATATGAAAAGTTTATTTTTAAGTAGTTTATTATTGGATGGATACACCATATTTTGGTTTTTGATTCAGCAGTTGAAGGACACATTATGGGTCACAAATTCCTTTTTTGTTCTTGGCAATCTTAGTAATGTTTCACTGGATGCTAGATATTGTGACATTTACCATGTTGGCTAAGGATAAATGGTCCGCAGCACTGAGGTGGAACCCTTCTTTATACTCTCCTCGAATCCTTAAGAATCATAAGGTTTTTCATTCTGTTGGGAATAGGTACTTCCCTGCAGTATTCCTGGCACCAGGCACTATTCTTTCTAGGGTGGTTCTTAACCCAGACCCAGGTAAATTCTCTACATGCCTGCACTAACCAATACTCAGATGAATACTTAAGAGAGATCCCCAGAGTTCTCACCACGTGTATCTCTCATTCTGCCATCACCTTTGCAATACTCAGTCCTTGCCTTTTTCTCCAGAGACTCTCAGCTTGTTTCTTTACCTCACAGAATCCATGGGGCTCTTGAGGAGCATTTAAGTTGCTTCCATCTCTTTGCTAATGTAAATAGTGCTGCAATGAACATTCACGTGTATGCATCTTTATGATAGATTGATTTACATTCCCCTGGGTATATACCCAGTCATGATACTCTGGCTTGAATGGTAGTTCTGTTTTTGGGTCTTTGAGGAATTGCCACACTGCTTTCCACAATGAGTGAACTAATTTACAATCTCACCAACAGTGTATAAGGGTTTCTTTTTCCCCACAACCTCACCACCATCTGTTATTTTTTGACTTTTTAATAGTATCCACTCTAACTGGTGTGAGATGGTATCTCATTGTGGTTTTCATTTATATTTCTCTAATGATCAGTGATGCTGAGCTTTTTTGATATGATCATTGGCCACATGTAGATCTTCTTTTGAAAAGTGTCTATTTGTGTCTTTTGTGCACTTTTTAATGGGATTGTTTGTTATTGTAAATTTCTGTAAGTTAATTATATGCTGGATATTAGACCTCTGTCAGATGCATAGTTTGCAAGTATTCTCTCCCATTCTGTAGGTTGTCTGTTTATTCTGTTGGTAGCTTCTATTGCTGTGCAGAAGCACTTTAGTTTAACTGGGATTCTCTTTTCTTATACTACCAATTGGAAACTCTGTCTAGGTTGAAAGTTGGAGGAAACACAGTGCTCAATACATTGTCCCCCCAGCACTCCAGGATTACTGTCTTGCATTGTTGTTTGGTGTCTTGAAATTAAAGTCAAAACAGAGCAAATGCTGTGGTATAAGTTCCAGTAGCCACGTGGCTGAGATTTGAGGTACAAATCCAAAAACGAATGATCAGGGCTTTAATTCTGAATTATGTAATTCAGATTGTCTAGATACTGAAAATCTTCTGGTGAGAGCATATGAAGGATATGAATATATTATACAAGGCTAAAAAAGCTTGTTCTAACTTCTCATTCTGTAGAAACTCTAGTTCTAGAGAACTGCTTGGTGAATATTTCCAAACTGCTTCACAGTTATATCTCTATGACTAGTTTCTGAAAACCTATGATTATAAGAACTGGCAAACAATTGCTCTCTGCCTGTGGTATCAAAGATTTTCAGAAAAACAGGCATTAATATGGCAAGTGTTTATACTATGTTGTGGAAAAGGATGGAATTAATGCAGTCACGAGAACCTTTACTTATTATTTTGTTTCCAGACTAATTCTCAGAACTTGAAATCATTTGGAACTGGGCAAGTGGACCATACAAATAATAAAATATTTATGAACATTCAACTCCTGTTTCAAACTTTATATTTTTATTTAAAATAATTATTTATTTCCCTTATCCATGAATATAAATATTTGATGAATATAATTAGAAAGATAGATATGCTTCTATATTTATTTATAAGCATTTTTACATTTGCCTAAAGAGACAAAAATGATAATGTTAGCGATGGCTGTGGATAACATTATTCAGAGACACAGTATAGTTTATGATAAAAATTTTACTGCTCCTGGAAAATAGTTTCTTCAATAATTAAACTGCCCCAGAATTTAGTGGCATAAGGCAAGCATGTTATTAGGCTCAGAGGGTCTGTGAGTGAGGCACTCACCACTAAGGACATAACTTGCCCTTTCTCCTTATGGCTGAGACCTTAGCTGTGAAGACTCGAAAACTGAATAACTTCATGTATGGGACTTGGACTCATCTGGAGGTTTCTTCAATCACATTTCAGACAGGTGATCTCAAATGATAGAAACAACGGGGCTCATTTAAGATTGTCATCAGGACACCTGAACATGGCTTGACTTCTTTACACTCATTATTGTAGCAAAACTTTCCAGATCTGATCTCAAGCAGTTAGGTAGATGGAATATGTTCTAGTGTTGGATAGCACAGTAAGGTGACTATAGTTAGCAATAATCCATTGTATGTTTCAAAATGGCTAGAAATAGATTTAGAATGTCCCCAAAACAAAGAAACGATAAATGTTTGAGGTACTGCATATCCTAAATACCCTGATTTGATCACTACACCTTGTATGGATGTATCAAAATATCACACGTACCACAGAAATGTGTAAAATCTTTATGCGTCAAAGAAAAATAAAATGAAAGAACAAGACGGAAACTGCATCTCCTTTATAATCTAATATTGAAAGTCACATAAAGTCACTTCCATCATACTCTATTGCTCAAAGTAGTCACTTTATCTAAATTTAAGGATAAGGAATATAAACCTCACAACTTGAAGGGATTAATAGTAAATAATATTGTGATTAGTTTTTTTTAAATTATCACACTGCTGATAACCCAAAGACGGCTGTGGTACTTTAAGTGTTATCATGGAAGGACTTTAGTAAAAATGTGAGATTCCTTTCACCACAGATTCTTTACAGTTTAGTCTTCCATTTATTTTCTTTTTGACTTCTAAGGTGCTATTAAATTGTGTAGGACAGAAGTCCTGCTCCATATGACCCCTACTAGAAAGAGTGAAATTCCTTGATTCAGGGTTCTAGAACCCATACAGGAACTTTTCAACATTAGCTACACTAAACTGTTAAAATCTCTAACTTCAGGAAAATTAATATGAAGTTGATTTCATTTGATATACTTTACATGGCTCATTAACACAGTCAGTATTTTTAAAAGGTTTGCAAAGTACTATTTAAATTGAGCTTTAAAAAAGCTTTAAAAAGATATGGAATTTGATGGAATGGGAGAGAGTTACAATTAAACATCTACAATTTCTGATGCTCTTTGCAGAAATGTTTCTTTATAGGACCAATAAGCAGAATTATCCAAGGTAACAAAACCAGCCCAGCATGCTTGCAGCCATAATCTCTGTCCTCATCTAACATGTGGATAACCATGTAATATTTTTGGCTCACAGAGCCATGGAAGACATGTAAGATAAAGTAATGGAACTATAAGGAAAAATCAAGAAAACAAAACAAAAAATGGAATTTCTATTGACTTATGTCCACAAGATTATGTTTATGTGTTTTCACGTGTGCCAGAGAGTAATCTACCATATCGGGACCCTCATGGAGAACCTCTGCTAAGGCAGTGCAGAAGGGAAATCTGGGTTTGGAGCCCCCACACAGAGTCTCTACTAGGCACCACCTAGTTGAGCTCTGAGAAGATGACCACTGTCCTCCAGACCCCAGAATGGTAGATCCACTGACAGCTTGCACCATGTGCCTGGTGCATGTATTAGTTCATTTTCACACTGCTGATAACGACATACCCAAAACTGGGAAGAAAAAGAGGTTTAATTGGACTTACAGTTCCACACGGTTGAGGAGGCCTCAGAATCATTGCGGGAGGTGAAAGGCACTTCTTGCATGGCGATGACAAGAGAAAAAATGGGAGAGATGCAAAAGTGGAAACTACTGATAAAATCATCAGATCTCATGAGACTTATTCACTACCATGAGAACAGTACGGGGGAAACCGCCCCCATGATTCAAATTATCTCCCACTGGATCCCTCCCACAACATGTGGGAATGATGAGAGTATGATTCAAGATGAAATTTGGGTGGGGACACAGAGCCACACCATATAATTCCACCCTGACCCCTCTAAATCTCATGTCTTCACATTTCAAAACCAGTCATGCCTTCCCAACAGTCTCCCAAAGTCTTAAACTCATTTCAGCATTAACCCAAAAGTCCACAGTCCAAAGTCTCATCTGAGACAAGGCAAGTCCCTTCTGCCTATGAGCCTGTAATATCAAAAGAAAGCTACTTACTTCCTAGATGCAACGGAGGTACAGGTATTGGGTAAATACAGCCATTCCAAATGGGAGAATTTGACCAATACAAAGGGGATACAGGGTCCACGCAAGTTCAAAATCCAGCAGGGCAGTAAAATTCTAAAGCTCCAAAGTGATCTCTTTTGATGCCATGTCTCACATCCAGGTCACCCTGATGCAAGAGATAGGTTCCCATAGTCTTGGGCAGCTTCGCCCCTGTGGATTTGCAGAGCATAGCCCCCCTCCTGGCTGTTTTCACAGGCTGGCATTGAGTCTCTGTGGCTTTTCCAGGCGCATGGTGCAAGCTGTCAGTGGATCCACCATTCTGGGGTCTGGAGGACAGTGGCCTTCTTGTCAGCGCTCCCCTAGGTGGTGCCCTAGTAGGGACTCTGTATGGGGGCTCCAAACCCAGAGTTCCCTTCTGTACTGCCCTAGCAGAGGTTCTCCATGAGGGCCCCGATCCTGCAGCAAACTTTTGCCTGGGCATCCAGGCATTTCCAAACATCTTCTGAAATCTAGATGAAGGTTCCCAAACCTCAATTCTTGATTTCTGTGTACCCGCAGGCTCAACAATACGTGGAAGCTGCCAAGGGTTGGGGCTTGCACCCTCTGAAACCGTGGGCCGAGCTGTACCTTGGCCCCTTTTAGCAATGGCTGGAGTGGCTGGGTCACAGGGCACTAAGTCCCTAGGCTGCACACAGCATGAGGACCCTGGGGTTGGCCCACAAAACCATTTTTTCCTCCTATGCTTCTGGATTTGTGATGGGAGGGGCTACCATGAAGACCTCTGGCATTCCCTGCAGACATTTTCCCCATTGTCAGGGATTAACTTTGGCTCCTTGTTACTTATGCAAATTTTTGCAGCCAGCTTGAATTTCTTCTTAAAAAATGGGTTTTCTTTTCTACTGCATCATCAGGCTACAAATTCTCTGAAATTTTATGCTCTGTTTCCCTTTTAAAATGAAATGCTTTTAACAGCATCCAAGTCACCTTTTGAATGCTTTGCTGCTTAGAAATTTCTTCTGCCAGATACCCTAAATGATCTCTCTCAAGTTCAAAGCTCCACAAATTTCTAGGGCAAGGGCAAAATGCCACCAGTCTCTTTGCTAAAACATAACAAGGGTCATCTTTGCTCCAGTTCCCAGCAGGTTCCTCATCTCTATCTGAGACCATCTCAGCCTGGACCCACTGTTCATATCACAATCAGCATTTTTGTCAAAGCCATTCAACAAGTCTCTAGGAGGTTCCAAACTTTCCCACATTTTCCTGTCTTCTTCTGAGCCCTCCAAACTGTTCCAACCTCTGTCTGATACCCAGTTCCAAAGTTGCTTCTACATTTTTGGGTATCTTTTCGGCAATGCCCCACTCTACTTGTACCAATTTACTGTATTAGTCCATTATCATAGTGCTGATGAAGATATACCCGAAACTGGGAAGAAAAAGAGATTTCATTGCACTTACAGTTCCACACAGCTGAAGAGGCCTCAGAATGACGGCAGGAGGTGAAAGGCACTTCTTACATGGTGGCGGCAAGAGAAAAAAAATGAGAAATATACAAAAGTGGAAACCCCTGATAAAACCATCCGATCTTGTGAAACTTATTGACTATCATGAGAACACTATGGGGAAACTGCCCACATGATTCAAATTATCTCCCACCAGGTCCTTCCCACAATACGTGGGAATTATAAGAGAACAATTCAAGATGAGATTTGGGTGGAGACACAAACTATATCACATTATTTTTATGTAAATATCGTGTGTAGTACTTAGCTAAGTCTGACATTGGAAGAAAGAGAAAATAAGTGATAATTTATAACTTTATTGTATACTTTAAATCATTACAGCCTATATCATATTTTTAAAAAACAAAGTGTTAAATATTCCTATCGTTTACTATGCAAATAGTCCCCTAAGGAAACAATACTAGGCAACAAACCATGTAACTACAGTTTCCCTACATCAATTGGACAAGCATTAAGGATTGCTTAATCACTTCAAAGATTTCTCTCAGAGAAACAGCTAAAATAATGTGCCCTAAAATGCGTTTCTGGTATTCTAGGATAATAAACTTCATAATGACCACGTTAACACAAATATTTAATCTGCTATATGATTACTATTATTAGAATTTTAGTTGTTTAACCTAGAACAGTCAGTAGAGTCAACTATAAGATGAGAAGAGTGAGATGCAGAAAATGAAAATTAAAATCAAAAGCTAAATAAATCTTAAGGCAGGTATTAGAGAAGAGGTTTTCAATTGGATTTTTTTTTTTTTTTTTTTTTTTTGAGACAGAGTCTCGCTCTGTCTCCCAGGCTGGAGTGCAGTGGCGCAATCTCGGCTCACTACAAGCTCCACCTCCCGGGTTCAGGCCATTCTCCTGCCTCAGCTTCCAGAGTAGCTAGGACTACAGGTGCCCACCACCATGCCCGGCTAAATTTTTTGCATTTTTAGTAGAGACAGGGTTTCACTGTGTTAGCCAGGATGGTCTTGATCTCGTGACCTCGTGATCCACCCATCTTGGCCTCCCAAAGTGCTTGGGATTACAGGCGTGAGCCACCGTGCCCAGCCTCAATTGGATTTTTATAATAACCTATAATGTTTTTAAAACTACAGATTCCAGACTCCAACTTCTGTAGATTCTATTTCAAGAATCTCTCCGTCCAGTCCTACCAGTTCCTTAGGATTTGGACAACAGGCTAGTGTTTTGAGCACTATGCCATTTAGGGACTCAACATTTCAAAAGTTTTTATCCAGAGGTATATGGTAATATGCTAAAAGTTGGGTGCAGAGTGAGAGCAAATGAATGGTAAGCTTCTTGTCCTCGAAGAACTCAGTCCACTGAAGGAAACAGACAAGTAGATAAATGTTTGCAATTTAATACAATAAGTGCTGTGACAGTGTACCAGGGGAGTATCTAAATTAAATTGAGGAAGAGAAGAGTATTGAATGTTCCTGAAGGAGAAACACTGACCTGATTCTTGAAGGGAGCTGGAAAGAAACGGTAAGACATTTAATAAAGCAGGAGGGGAAAATGAGCCTAAAAAAATAAACAGGCCTCAGAAGCTTAAGGATTTTCCACACCGTTGTATGGAAAATGGCTTTTATCCTAAAAAAATGATAATAATAAAATAAAATAAAAAATAAGGATGGAGCAATGTAAACTTTCTGTGCAGAAAATTAATAAGATCATTTTGTGATTTGGAAATATTAATCTGTGTATAGCATGGAGATCCCATCAGAAAAGTGCAAGAGTTTAATCATAGGAAGCTTTTATTTAGCATAAAATGAACTACATTTCAAGACTTTCTTTATTGCCTCATTACTGAAGGTTGATTATGGTATTAGTCACTCCTAGTTTCTAGGTTTTTGACAAATGAAAAACAAATGCACGCTCCAACTACGGATCAACCTATATCATCTGCTTGATTTTAATTAATAAATAATAATTGAAATCTTAGCAGAATCTCTCATCTCTTTTTTTTTCCCTAAGCCTGAACTTTGGTGACTTTTCAGTCCTGACTTATTGTATCTAATTTCAAGCTGAGAAATTGGAACTTGGGGAGCAGAGACACAGCTGGAGCTTCTGTTGCACCGCTTACATGCAGATATACCGCATATCTCAGCACAAGAGTCCAAAAGGCAATGTTTGCAAGCTAGTTTTCAAGACTGACCTTTTTCATGCACAAATCCTCTCTCCTGATTGACATTGCTTCCAAACTTTAGGTATTCCTTCTCACAAAACAAATGAGATACTCTTTCTCACAGAAGAAAAGAGAAGCTTAAACGTTCCCTCAAATGTTTTCCCTCTCGAAAATTAGGACAAAATTTTTTTCAAGGTACCGTAAGACCCTGAGAATCAGGCTTTTCTCCAGAAATATCCCAATTGTTATTCTCCTGTGATTTTCACCCTAACAACAAGCTTGTAGTCAACCAATGGTGTGGTGGTTCCTTTGGGGCAAGAAAGCAGCAGAATATGAGGCCAGCCCTGCCCCATGAGATTTTTCTATAGAAACCAGTTCTGCTTTATTGTGTATCTCTTGAGACCAGCTAAATTAGAATGTGTGTAGTTACTATAACATTTCCAAAATTTGGATTAATATAACTAGAAATCTCTCAGGATAACCTCGCCTACAAATAGTACAAAGAGCCATTAGGTACTGTGTAATTATCACATCAGTATCCATAAGCTTGAAAACACCAAAAACACAAGACAATCCCTATGCATTGCAACAGTTATTTACACAAAAAATTATTCTCAATGCCATATCCAGTACATGTAAGACTGGTAAGGGTTTGAGGCTTTATCTTACTTATAGCCTAGCAAATTAGCCTGCCACAGTTTTATGGATTTGGGCAGAAGACATAAGATTCCTAGGTCAAAAGAGTATATTTAGAGCAATAGCAATGGCTAGAGTATCAGCATTTTTTATACCGGTTCCCCAAGCCCCAATTCTCACAGGGTGACAGAAAGAAAGCCAGTTGATACTAGCACAAACAGTGGATTGGGTTATATAAGAGGAACCTTGAACTTAGGGAACCTATAGTTTTTACAGTGAAGATTAAGCATGCTTGCCATTTGCATCTGAGAGGGCACTATGTTTTTCAAGGATTTAAGCAAACATGCCTTTTGCTTTGAAGGGAGACTTTATCTTTCAATGCTGTTTGCCATAAGACATCCCTCATAAAGTTAGTTTGGAATAAAGCACAGTCAGTTTTTCTGTCACAATATGTGTGGAAAGGTCAGAGATCCATGGAGAATTGTCTCCCAAAAGCATAAAGAACATAGATGAAAGATCGATAGATAGATAGAAGATAGACAGACAGACAGACAGATAACATACATACATACATACATACATATAATTTTTGGGCTGCAAAATATTATGTTCTTTCTTAAGAGGTAGCATGGAATTAATATTTTCTTAAACAAATTTACAATGTGCATCCCCAGTCTTCAACACTCTCTGAGATTTTCATCTTTCAGGTATAGCCAACAACATGTTAACGTCCTTATTTTCCATTGTTCCATTTACTTTTCTATTTCTGGTACTGTAATGATGAAATATATATGGAATTTTAGCCAGAAAGCCCTGTTAAATATTTTTCTTAGGTTTAAGAAAGCACAAACTTATCTTAATAAGTCATGAACAAGACGCCTAAGACAATTTTGGTAACATGTCCCAGTGGCCACTGTTTTGTTCAAGTATTCTGTGGGTTTGTAGATCATTGCCTTCTGGGGAAATTCCATAATTGTTCACTTTTAGCTTTCCTGAATAATCAGTCTGAGCAGATTCTAGGCTATTGTTGATAATTCTGAAATTTCCGTCCTCCATTCCCTCTAAGGATGGGTATGTATTCATGCTATGAATTTGCCAGCACCTTGCATTTAAAACCCAACAGGTTTTATGAATCTTGTGCCATTTTAGAAAAATGATATTTTTATTATGTTTTCTCACCTTTTTTTCTTATAACAATAGAATATGCATCAATTGTACAATGGCCTCCAGTAGGTCCCTTCTCCTTTCAAGGGTACCCTATTGCGATGTTACAATTATAATCTCATTTCTAAATTAACCCCTTCTCTACCACTTATAAGAACAAAGTTGGACAGGCTATTTATTTATCTTCATTTTGATTTGGACATGATTCCTGAACATATTTTACTAAATTCTATCTTTTTATATACTTAGTTAGAGATATAAAGTTACTGTTTTATTTTTAGTGATCCAAAGCATAATATTAAAATCAAAACTATACACCTTCAGAATTATCTAAACAACTTTTAAAATAGTGTATATCTAGTGTATATCTTTTCTTCCAATATTAAATAATGCATAACATTTGTTGAGCATTTATTATGCATCAATCTTCAAAACATGTTTCATAAGTTAACTCTCCCAATAATTTTAAGAGGTTCAACTTTTTCGAAGACTCTTTTTAAATCAACAATTGTGACTATAATTTTTCTAATTGAGCTTGGTAGCACAATGGGACAAACTAAAAAGTATCACTTCTTAAAACATTTGGCAAATACAGAATGGATTGTAACAGGCATACAATGTCTGTGAGATATAATCACATGACAATTAGAAAGGAAGTTACACAAGCGAAAAATAAGAGAAAAGGAAAAACAAATCTAGGGAATAACCTTTCACTTGTATGTTGTCGAAACAAAATTAATTACATGAATTTAATAATACAGATATTTGGTATCTTTCATTAAATATGTTAGCTAACTAAAGGTTAACCTGCTCCACAAAGAAATACAACAATATCTTCACCTAAAGAAACAAAAATACTTAGTTTATATATTTGTTATTTGATTAATGTACTGTTTTTCTTATTAGCAGTATTCCTTAAAAAATTCTAAATGTAAGTTATTGTGCACATTGGAAAAATCAGCCCGTCTAAGTAAGGGGAAAAAAATAAGAGCTGTGCGCCCTAGAAAACTGGCTGTATCTGCTGCCCTATAAGACATCTGTAACATGTATAGCATCCTTGTCAGTGCAAAAGGTCAGGACCACAATGAAAATGCTGTATATTGCCATGTATAATTGCATTTATTTATTTCTCTCATTAAAATAGCTAAAATTGTTCAAAATATAACATTGAATTTATTTTTCTAGTCATAAATATAATAGTTAATAATTTCCAGATACTCATTATTGGTCATATGCATGGTTAGGTTATTTTTACTTCTCACAATAACGTACTGGGTTGCACTATTAAAGAGAAAAGAAAATAAGCACAGAGAGATTGTGTAAATTTTCAAAATCACAGAGTCCATGTCAGAGAAAAGTCAGAATTTGGGGCTGAGCATTCAAACTGAAACCTGAAAACCTTCAAGGAGAGTTGATAAAAATTGCCAAGGCAGTATTACTAACACTAACACTCTATTGTCTCCCATCATATGGAATCTAACTCCAGTTTTTATTTTTCATGTCTGACTATGGACCGCTCTTAAAACTCACACCTTCCTTTTCCCCTTCTGCCCCACATCTGATCAAGCTTATAAGAAACCCCAAGTTCTTACTCTTTTGGCACCTGCAGGAAATTCCAATCATGTAATCCTCTGCCTAACCACAACAAAAAGCCTCCAAACCAGTCTCCTTTCCCTGATGTCTCAAGCCATTTTTGGACTGCTTGGGATATATACCCTGTCCTCACCAGAAAAGCCTCACTATGAAAATATTAAAATTCTTCATACCTGCTTGGTGTGTGTGGTGTCATCTGTGTCTATGTTGAACTCATTTTGCATAGGTGTTCATCTTGTCTCTTTAGGGTGGCCACATACCACCCAGTATATCTGGCATAACATTGTAAAATTTGCTAATGAAACCACAGTATTTTGTAGTCTTCAAATGCAGTATTTTCTTGAAAGGAAGTTTTTGATAAGAAAATCAATACAATCATATTTCTTGGGTAATTCAAGTTATTGCAGCACCTTAGAAGAAACTTTCCATTAATTATTATGATTACTGTGTGTTTGTGTATGTATATACACATACACATGTATACAAATATAGCATAAAATGTTGGATTATAAATAAAATGACTCAAAACTGTACAATGAAAGGTAAATTTTCTACTACATATTTGACTTATCTATTTTGTTTTATAAACTTTTCTTTACACTAAATTCTAATCACCTGTATTAGTCTGTTCTCATGCTGCTATAAAGAAATACCCAAGACTGGGTAATTTATAAAGGAAAGAGATTTAATTGGCTCAGTTCGGCATGGCTGGGGAGGCCTCAGCAAACTTACAATCATGGTGAAAGGGGAAGCAAACACGTCCTTCTTCACATGGTGGCAGGAGGGCAAGAGAGAAGTGCAGAGTGAAGGGCAAAAGTGCCCTATAAAACCATCAGGTCTCGTGAGAACTCACTATCATCAGAATAGCATAGGGGAATGTCCCTCATGATCTAATCACCTCCCACAAGCTCCCTTCCCCAACATGTGAGAATTACAATTCAGATTATAGTTCAAGATGAGATTTCGGTGGGGACACAGAGCCAGATAATATCATCACCTAAATATTTGTATGCTATGTTATTTTTGTTTGGTTCATCTTCAACACTTATTTATTGTGCTGTTAAGTTGGTAGTACTCTTCTAAGAGCCAAGAATAACACAAAAGATAAATATCACAGTTTCTGTTTTATAAGAATCTACTTTATTTTTCAGAATATTAAATATACAGGCTTTGGGAGTTTTCACTTGTATAGCACTTATATTCCTTAATTCACTTAACCTCCCTATACCTACTTACTTCCACATTATATGAATGTACTGATTATTGACTTGATACTTTCTAGAGTCATGAAAATTTATGGCATAATGCCTGTTAATTTTTTTCAAAATGAAAATCTTATGCCAATATACAAAATTATCATTATTTTTAAAACAATAATGAAAGAAATTTGTGAATTTAGATGTTAAACATAAACCAGTAGCAGAGAAAATTATTTCATTTTGTTCTAGTCATAACCTAGCAATATAAAAAGACTCTTAACAAAATAGATTTCCAGGAAGTCATGTATGTTTTTTTTTCAACAGATCATTTTTTATTTTGATCTACTATGGTCAGTGATATTTTTGTAGTTTTTGTAACTCTAGTCTTGAGCAAGTTTACTATAGATGGATACCATGCTTCATGCAAACTATCCAGTTGTAGGGCAATGTAATAATACACTTAGGCATAACATTATATTGCATTACAATATTATATTGCATGCACACGTATACTTAGTAAACTCTTTAACGTGTGTAAATCTTATCATTAAACAAGACTTTCACATATTTTGCTTCACTTGGAGTTTGCCCTTATAACTTTTTAACAAAATGAATAACATGAATTTTATTATCTCTTTTCGAAAAATAATGATAAAAATTAATTGGGCATGGAATTCTTTCCATTTGCTTTCAAAGTTCATACTTTTTCCATTTTAGCAAAAAAAGTGTCTATATATTTTTTTTTGGTGTTGCTTCCAGTTCAGCAGATCATTTTCTCAGTTGTTTTAATGCAATATATCCTTTACAATAATCTATTATATTTGAAAAGTTTAAGGAAAGCCCTTATCATTCACTGCCAAAATGATTTATGTTAATGAGATTATTTTAGGACTAACATCCTGTTAAATTTTGACACCATATCCTTTATCTGGTGGGAACTAGAAATTCAAGAGAGCCATGATCAATATTTCAGACAACGTTAGTTGGCACAAGATGCTATCCCCATGTGTAACGACATATTCATACGCTATATAATTATTTTTAGTGGGATTTTTTTCTTAGAATGTCTTTGATGCAGATTAGTTTTTATGGAAAGGGAACACACTAACAATGCAAATGTCAAAATACATCTCATATGGTGTTGACCTGACTGATGCCATTTGTCTTTACTCTTAGCACATCTACAGAATCTAGAGTAGTAGCAACCATGAAAACTGGACTGTCAACAAAGAAGACAGAAGTTTGATATCCACAAGAACTAAGAAGAAATCACTAAGGAATATATAATCTAATTTGTATTTGAACAAACAAACGCTGAAAATTCACTGACTTAAAGTGTTAAATTATTTCCAAAATGTATGTAAAATAGTTTCTATATATATAAAATAAATGCATGTAAAACATTTTATTTACTTTATCAGTTAAAGAAGGAGCCAATAAGTTTTTAGTGCCTTTTCGAATATTTCAGAATCTATGTATCTAACAGGTAATTTGATAAAAGAATGATCATATAAGAATTCTAAGATAGATACAAACTGGTCAATGTCCAATATGGCAATAAATCACAAACTTTGGGTTATGTTTTGCACTTAGAAGTGATTTGGACCTCCACTAACAAAAAACCCACAAATTAAACTCTATCCATACAGAATTATAATACAGCCTAGTCAATGGAAAAGTCCATCAAAGATGCAAGGTTAGCACTGCTCTGAAATAACACCCACAGATCTCTTGTGCCTATCTCCAAGCTATGGATACTTTTACTTTGATATAGAAATAGAAGCAATGCCAGTTTTTAGGCAGACTGAGGTTTACAAAAAATCTTCAGCATGAGGCCAAAAACATTCTTAGGCTATCTGCTGTAAAAATCTCTCCCTGATTTTACTGACACAATGGGAATATGACTTCTAAGTACAGCTATTTACCCCAAGTAAGTACATCCTTTAGGTTGAGTTATAAATGTGATACTTTGGATAATAATCATCAGAGAATGATCAAAGTATAGGTACTATGTTTGATGGAGTCTATATTAATTTAGCTACAATTATATTGAATTGATTTTTTATTTGAAAGAAAAAAAAAATCGGCCAGGTGTGGTGGCTCACGCCTATAATCCCAGCACTTTGGGAGGCCGAGGCAGGTGAATAATTTGAAGTCAGGAGTTTTAGATCAGCCTGGCCAACAAAGTGAAATGTCGTCTTTACTAAAAAATACAAAAACTAGCCTGGCATTGTAGCAGGAGCCTGTAATCCCAGCTACTCATGAGGCTGAGGCAGGAGAATGCTTGGACCGGGAGGCGGAGGTTGAGTGAGCAGAGATGGATCGCGCCACTGCACTCCAGCCTGGTGACACAGCGAGACTCCCCGTCTCAAAAAATAAAATAAAATAAAATATACAGGAAAAAAGTCATTTAACAGAGCATCATATTAAGTGAATGTGTAGTAGATAACTGGCTTTCCAACTTTCTTTACATTCCTGAAGAATAAGTATATCTTACATAACTTGCGTGATATATATTTGCCCTTACTATATGCAACATGCTGAATTTCAAATATATTCCTTTCTTATGTTTAGTTAGGCAGTTGGGCATGAATCTCTGTTTTTCTTTTTATGATAAACAAGTGTAGTCACAGTTTAAAAAACATTGCAGTGGCTCACGCCTGTAATCTCAGCACTTTGGGAGGCCGAGGCGGGCGGATCACGAGGTCAGGAGACCGAGACCATCCTGGCTAACACAGTGAAACCCCGTCTCTACTAACCGCATATTCTCACTCATAGGTGGGAATTGAACAATGAGATCACATGGACACAGGAAGGGGAATATCACACTCTGGGGACTGTGGTGGGGTGGGGGGAGGGGGGAGGGATAGCATTGGGAGATATACCTAATGCTAGATGACGAGTTAGTGGGTGCAGCGCACCAGCATGGCACATGTATACATATGTAACTAACCTGCACAATGTGCACATGTACCCTAAAACTTAAAGTATAATAAAAAAAAAAATTAAAAAAAAAAAGAAAAAGAAAAAAATGCAAAAAAAAAAAAAAAAAAATTAGCCGTGCTTGGTGGCGGGTGCCTGTAGTCCCAGCTACAGGAGGCTGAGGAAGGAGAATGGTGTGAACCCGGGAGGCGGAGCTTGCAGTCAGCCGAGATCGCGCCACTGCACTCCAGCCTGGGAGACAGAGCGAGACTCCGTCTCAAAAAAAAAAACAAAAGAAAACAAACAAAAAAACCCCACAACATTGCAATGTATCGTGAACACTAACGTATTCACAATATGGTAAGGTACAGAAACATGGACCTGTGAAGAACAGTTTTAAATATAAAAAATATTAGGGAAAAAAGCCTTGTATGTCTGCATCAGTGTTTATAATATTTTCTAAAATTCTGTTTATGCAGTCGTAAAAATATATTTTTTAGATTATTATTGTAAATAAAACTTAGTAATTACCAGGCCTCCATTATCTCACTGAACAGGTCCTTGATTCCAAAACAGATTAAGACTCAGCATAAATTGCTGGCCTTTCTGATAAAACAATTAGCTACTTCTACTCCAGGAATTAAGCATCAAAGGAGGGAGTATCTTGATAAAGATACATTTAGATACTTTAAAGAGAAAGGATTTTGAACAAAATAGGTCTACATGAGCTGAGAAACTGGAAGAAAAAATTCCAATAATCACGGAAGGTACTGAGGACAGATCAAGCACTCAATTTCCCACATTGCCCTTAAACTTACATACACACACAAATTTCTTTAAATACTAAAGATCAGGTGTGCAAAAAAAAAAAAAAGAGTTGATATGATGCTATGATACTGACATTAACCTTACAACTGTTACACAAACTTTTTCTCAGAGTCAACAAACTACTCAGGAACTAGTAATCTCTAATAATTCTCAGACATTCCCTATATCCTTTCTTTCATGCTCACACCTGAACCAGGGGGTTTTTCTTCCTCTGTTACATCACAACCATTAACTTAATAGGGAATAACTTACAGTATAAATAAAATTTTCCTTTTTAATGTCCTTTCTTGAATTTGAGAACTCTCCCATTCATAAATGGTCATATCTAATTTGGACATTTACTTAGAGGTACCTTTGTGTCTATATTAAACCCAAACTGAAGATCTGAAGAATATGCTAAGTAATGTGTAGGCAAAAATGTCATGCCATAGGTAGAATTATTGGTGCTGAACCCATGAAGGTTCAGATCGACCCAAAAAATCCTCTACTGAAACTTGTATTATACTCTTTAAAACTAGAAGCAAATAAATAAATAACTTTTAAATTTTTTTTAAAGGATGGTACTTTTTAAAATTATCAGCTATACCTTTTCAAATAAGAAGTTAAAACCAACAGTCAAAGACTGGTAGAAAAGGAATTCGCATTTTATCTCAATCTTCCTAATACTATCCTATCAATCCAAAATAAAAACAAAAAAACACCACTCAGACTTACTAGAAATCCCTTTGGAAAATTAAGTCAAAAATTTTCTGTGGCTGGGTCATACCTTAAGAATGAAAAAGGAGAATATTAAAGCTGTAACATAGAAAAATTACCTCATAGGAAAATTCTGCCAAGATGGCAGAAATAAATCAAGCTCTCTAGGGTTTGATAGTTAGCTGGAGATAAGAGGACTTATGTATACACTGATAATGGAAGATTCTTTTGTGGTGATACATAATTTCAGAAACTATTGGAAACAACAAAATTCCCTGACCTCAGCAGTGACCCAATGAAGAATGATTAGCATATTAAATGAACCTTGCATGCCCTAATACATTCTATGGTGATGGCTATTATAAATGTTGAAACTCATGAAGAAAAGGATAGATGTAGAGAAGCTAAAGGAAATTTTCTGTATGATTATTTCTCCAGACAGACTCTCATGATAAGATCCTAGTACTTATAACATATCAAGAAGACAAATCTTTGGAGAGGTTTAAAGAGAAAATTTTAAATCCCCATAATTATCTCCTATTAGAAAACATACTGGGAGAAATTACAATGTCAAGCAAGAGACTAATCTTTGGCACCCTTAAATTGGCTGCTGTGTTGCACTGGAGGATCTCAGGTGGAGCCTTGAAAACATTTTATACAAAATTGCCACCACTGCAAGGACAAATTGCCCAACAAATTTTGTTGATAAACATTTATGCTAAAACTTCTAAATCTGTTTCGGGTGTATCTGTTACCATGATAATCCTGATAAATTTTTAAGGTGTGACATACAGAAGCCTAAACCTCAGAACCATTTCAAATGTCTCCAAATAGATTTTTAATACGTTTCTCTTGAAATGAGTTATTATCAGAGTAGGCAGATACCTAGACATGAACAGGAAGGGGGAGCCCATGAGAAAGGAAGCTCTGGAAAATCTAACACCCCAGGGACCACTGGAAACATGCATGCCAGATATAAGCAGAGAGGAGGGGAAATACCTAAGCAGAAAGGAATGCCCCAGAGCACCTTGTAAGAAGCTCAATAATCACTTATTCTGCAGTCACACTATCAGAATGTTGTTAGCTACATGCTGATAAGGAGGGAGAGAGGCCAATGGGGAAATTCCTAACACATACGCAGGTGCAGTAAGTACAGATTTAACTGCTATATGATTTTCCTGAGTGGCAGCAATGAGCAATGTTGCCATTAGGTAGGATTCATATCCAAGAGCTGGCCCCCAGCATTCATCAACTAGCAGTAAGGGAGACTCCCATAAATCTGGGGCAGGAAGTAGGTGGGGACAATGCAGAGACTTAAGGTGCACAGGAAACTAGACAACGATTAATTAAATCATTGACAATTGGTGATAAACCCAGCCTTCAGTCCTTTTCCCCTCCCTACAGGTCATAGTTGGGGCTGAAAGTCCCAATCCTTTAATCAAATGTTTGGATCCCCTAACAGCTAGCCTCCACCCTGAAGCTATCCAAGATCCCAAAAAGTATGGCTTAATTATAACAAAAGACGCTCTTATTACCTGGGAAATTCCAAGAGATTTAGAAGCTTTGTGTCAGATGGCCCTATATTCAGGAAATTACAAAGGTCTTAAGAACTCTCAACAACTCGGGGCAGAGTCCAATATATGTATTTCTTATTATTTTACAAAATGCTTCAAATTTCCCATTATAATTTGATAACCATATACCTAGCAATACCATCTATTCTAAACTCCATATTTATACCAGCAGACATGGCCACATATTTTGAAAGACTAATGCAATGCACCCATTCTTATCAATAGGCATAGGCAGCCATTCCTCAACGTCCTCCTAAATCATCTATGCAAAACTTATTCCCTGAATATCTGGTCTTTTGGATGAGGCAGTAGAAAATCACATTTCTTAAACACTGATGGAAAGACTTCTATCAGATACTATTAGCTATCTGAGCAGTGAAACTCCAAAGAATTGACATTTATAATTCATATCTCAACAAAAACAACAAAACCATCCTCAAATCACTGGAAGATGGTCCCACCCAGAGACCTCAATTTGAGAAGTCAGGATCCTTCTGAAACCAGTTTCCATAAAAAGATAGCTTCTCCCATGACTTTTGAATCAAATACTTTGCTTTTTGAGATGTAGACAGTGGTTGCCCAAGGTACATGAAACAAGACAGACTACCACTCTTAGACTTTATTTTTGTTTTATTTTCCTAGCTATTTTCTTTCCTCTTTTGCTGGTTTAAGCCCACTCTTAAGTATGTTATCTAAAAAAATAAATAAATAAAAGGCCTCCATTCTTAATACTTTTTTGTATCTTTAGTTACTCTTTATTATGAGTTCAATACCAGGACACAATTTATTTGTGAACTAGCTAGAGAATACAATAAAATGGACTGATGTATTGGTTTTCCTTCAGGAGCCACCTAACTTACCTTGGTATAATTTACTTGTGATAAATTAGTTGGTTTCCTGGGTAACTAACTCAAACATTAGGTAACTTTTAAATAGCATACCCCCCAACAGGCCAAACAGCCAGAAATCTAAAATTCTCTATTGCTTCAAAATTAGAAAAAGAAGCTCTTGTCTCCTTCAAAACACTACTCTAGAACCTTTCATAGGAGCTAGATTTTTTTAGCTTGTTGGCAAATGAACTTTCATAGAAATAAAACTTGGAGGAGGATTAGAGAACAGATGGTGTATATTTGGAGACTTATCTCCCTTTTACTGATTCTATGAGCAAGAAGCACTACTTCTTTTTTGCTTTAAATCTATCTATTTATCTTGATACTAAAACTTTTTATTTCCTGCGGTCATAACATTCCAGATGAGCAGTGCCATATCATTACAACACTCAGCCTCGTATTCAGAAATGAAACTCTAACCCCTCCAAGGGAATTCTAGACTATTTTCCTCTCTCTTCAAGCCTCTTCACTCTGTGCTTTAAAGGAAGCCCAGAGGATGGGAATATTGTCCATGATATATGTTAGAAAAGAAAAAGTGTACGAAATAATGCACTTGCACATAAAAGTGAATTGGCAATGATTCAGTATGGAGCCTTTTTAGCTAGTATATTGGCATCTCAAGAAAGAACATAGCATGTTTTAGGCAGAGTTCTGTGCCCATATCCATGCATCTCTTTCTAGTATCTTTAATATGAAAGACCTGGGAAAGAAACAAAATGTCTGGGAAAAAAACAAA